>NW_003571054.1:154896-309793 GCF_000001405.40 Homo sapiens
GTGTAACTGTAGTTGGTAGGAATGGCGTGCCCTCTGCTGGGGAACAGCACTGGTCAGGGATTGGAAATTGCTATTTCCTTGCAGAGGGCTGCTGAGGGCTGCTATGTGAGGACATCCCACGGGGTGGAGCAGTGCTAGCTCCTAGCAACAAAGGGGCAGTGCAGGGAGTGCCGTATCTGCAGCAACAGAGCAAAACTTCTGGTAAAAAGGAGGTGAGCTACTGTTGCTAGGGATCCTGCTTCCCTAGCAAATAGTGGCGTTCTGTTGCTAGGGAACCGTTTCCCTAGCAACAGAGGGTGACCCACCACTAGCAAAGGATGGCATCCCCAGCAAGCAGGAACAATCTGGTTCTGGGGGGTGACACTTCTGTGGCAACAGAGGGGTGGCACAGGGTTGCTAAGTTACCACCTTTTCCTAGCGACAGGGGGCAGTTCACCACACTGCGGGGTGACAAGCGCTAGCAACAAGGGGCATCTGTCAGTACCAGGGATCTTTTCCCTACCGACAGGGGCTGGCAGGCCATGGTTGCCGAGGGGGCGACACTCTGCTCAAAAAGGTGGTGGCCCTGGCCCCTTGCTCCCCGCTCTCCTCCCGGCTAGGGGCAGAGCCAGCCCTTGGAGGTGGGGGCTGCTGGGTCTTGGGAAGCCTCCCTCGCGCCGCCTGACCTGCTGGGGGGTGGGCATTGGAGGGTGGGGCCGCCTCCGGCCCGGGCTTTGGCGGCCACGGGGTAGGCCCCAAAGCCGGCGGCAATGCAGCCGCACTCGGCGGCAATCCAGGCCACGTAGAAGCGCATGCGGAAGGCGAAGAAGACGGGGATCATGTAGAAGAGGCGGGCGGGCAGCGGGCGGGCGTAGAAGGCGTCCTCGCGCACGGCCTCCAGCGGGAAGAGGTGAGAGGAGAGCAGGAACAGCAGGCCGAAGAGCGGGGCCGGCCAGGCGCGGCGCAGCAGGGGCCGCAGGCTGGGCACTGCCCCGGGGAAGGGCTGCTCCAGCCAGTCCAGGTAGGTGCGGTAGCGGAAGAACGGGCCTGTGGGGCGGGGAGGGAGGGCCGCGGTCAGACAGGCAGGTGGGCAGAGCTCAAGTCTGCAGGAGGAGGACAGGGAGCTTGGAAGGAAGGTGGGAAGAGGGAGTGAGAGGGGCAGAGACTGGGCGCCGGGGAGACCCCAAGGGTAGGGACTGAGACCCTGAGAGATGGGGATAAGGAACGAGAGACAGGGGGGACAAGAAACTCAGAGAGACAGAGACAGTAACAGAAAAACAGACAGAGGGGCCGGTGCGGTGGCTCACACCTGGAATCCCAGCACTTTGGGAGGCCTAGCTGGGAGGACTGCTTGAGCCCAACAGTTGGACAGCAGCCTGGGCAAAACGGCAAGACCCCATCACTACAAAAAATAAAAATCAGCCAGGTGTGGAGGGCACCTGAATTCCCAGCTACTGGGGAGGCTGAGGCGGGAGGATCGTTTGAGCCCAGGCTGCAGTGAGCAGTGACTGAGCTACTGCATTCCAGCCAGGGAGGGAGGGAGGGAGGGAGGGAAGGAGTGAAGAAGGGAAGAAAGAAGGGAGGGAAGGAGGGAAGGAAGGAGGGAGGGAAGGAGGGAAGGAAGAAGGGAGGGAAGGAGGGAAGGAAGGAGGGAGGGAGGGAAGGAGGGAAGGAAGGAGGGAGAGGGAAGGAGGGAAGGAAGGAGGGAGGGAAGGAGGGAAGGAAGGAGGGAGGGAAGGAAGGAGGGAGGGAAGGAGGGAAGGAAGGAGGGAGGGAAGGAAGGAGGGAAGGAAGGAGGGAAGGAAGGAGGGAGGGAAGGAAGGAGGGAGGGAAGGAAGGAGGGAGGGAGGGAGGGAAGGAGGGAAGGAAGGAGGGAGGGAAGGAGGGAAGGAAGGAGGGAGGGAAGGAAGGAGGGAGGGAAGGAGGGAAGGAAGGAGGGAGGGAAGGAAGGAGGGAAGGAAGGAAGAAGGGAAAAGGGAAGGACGGAGGGAAGGAGGAAGGAAAGAAACTAGGAGATAGCTGTGGCACTTTAGCTACAATATGATGGTGGTCTGGCCTAGGGAGGAAGCAGTGTGATTCACAGAAGGGACCGGGGTTAAAATTTTTATATGTTCACAAAGGCCGTATGTTTAGGTCAATGTAGCATGGGAAGATAAAAGGAAAAAAAAAACAAATTAAAATAAATAAATAAGACCACATGTTGTATGATTCCATTTGTAAGCGCAATGTCCAGAACAGGCAAATCTTTACAGATAGAAAGTCAATTACTGGTTACCAGGGATGGATGGAGGTTTGTGGGATGATGGACATGGGGTTTCTTTGCAGGGTATGAAACTGTTCTGAATATAACTACACAATGGTCATGTCTGCACAACTCGGTGAATATACTAAAAATCAGGGAGTTGTATGTTTTGTGTTTTTTTTTTTTTCCAGGAAATTAAAGAAGCCAAGAGTTGTATGTTTTAAGTGGATGAGTATGTGAATTAGAGTTCCCTAAAGCTGTTATTGGAAAAAAAACCTTTGATGAGGTAAACATTAATGAAAAATATTTTCTTTTTAAAATTTCACATATATATACACATACACACATACATATATATACACACATGCACACACACATACATATGTATTTTTTGAGATGGAGTCTTGCTCTGTTGCCCAGGATGGAGTGCAGTGGTGTGATCTTGGCTCACTGCAAACTCCGTCTCGTGGGTTCAAGCGATTCTCCAGTTTCAGCCTCCCAAGTAGCTGGGATTACAGGCACACACCACCATGCCCGGCTAATTTTTGTATTTTCAGTAGAGACGGGGTTTCACCATGTTGGCCAGGCTGGTCTCAAACTCCTGACCTCAGGTGATCTGCCTGTCTCAGCCTCCCAAAGTGCTGGGATTACAGGCGTGAGCCACTGCGCCCGGCCCTTTTAATTTTATATTTATTTATTTTTTAAAAATAAAGGTTTAAAATAAAGGGACGGGATCTTGCTATGTTGGCCAAGTTGATCTTGAACTTTTGGCCTCAAGCAATCCTCTCGCCTCAGCCTCCGAAAGTGCTAGGATTATAGGCATAAGCCCCCACGCCCAGATGAAAAATATTTCCTTAAGCTGAAAGTGGACCCTAAGCCGTGAATATTTGTTGTCTGGGAAGCAAAAACATCAGGTTGACATAGATCTTTACCTCCTTTATCTCTTCTCTTTGCTCCCAATACGCTACAAGGAGAAGAGCAAGGAATTGCTTAGGTTGAGACAGCCAGCTTCTACCCCAAAGCAGCTCTGGTCCAGCGGAGGTGTGAGACGTAGACCCAGACACATGCCCACCCTCACAGCAGCAGATGCTAGGATGGAGGTTGCCCTGGGCAGGGCGGGAACACAGAACAGGCACTCAGGGCGGAAGGGGACACAGGAGACAGAGCGGCAGAGTTGTTAGGGCAGCCCCACTCACCTGTCATGATTCCCACGTAGCAGTAGCTGTAGCTGAGTGTCTCCATCAGGGAGGGCACGTCGGGCAGCAGCCCCAGGGTGGGCCCCTTGCTGAAGCCTGAGGCCATTTCCTTCCTCTGGGCCAGATGCAGGTCCTGGACTTCACTGGCCAGGCTCACCAGCTGGGCAGAAGGGGGTGGGCAAGGGGCCAGGTCAGACTCTGGGCCCTTCCCCACACCCATCTCCCTTGCGCGGCTGCCCTCGGCAGCCAAGGGGTGCTGGGTGCCCGCAGCTCTGCCCATCTAGGTTGTGTGTAACGCCTCTAGCTGGGCGGTGTTCCCCAGGGCTCAGTCCCAGGCCCTCCTCCCCTTTCCCTGTTCTGTGCTTACCTGCTCTCACGCAATCACGGAGGTTTCGATACTATCCACACGCTGAGGACGCCCAAACGCTACCCCAGCCCCAGACCTATCCAATCAAGTGGCTTATTGGCATTTATACTCGGATGTCTCCAGGCACCCCAAACGCACTGGAAACGGAACATGATGTTACCCACCCCACAAGGTAGACCCTCTTCTAGTGTCTCCCCTCAAACAACAGGCCACCAAATTGTTCAAGCCAAAAATCTCCCTCACTCCCCAAATCCGATCCTTTAATCTCTCTCTCTTTTTTTTTTTTTTTTTTTTGAGACAAGTTTTGCTCTGTCACCCAGGCTGGAGTATACTGGTGTGATCTCGGCTCACTGCAACCCCCACCTCCTGGGGGCGCAAGCAATTCTCATGCCTCAGCTGGCCAGGCTGGTCTCGAACTCCTGGCCTCAAGTGATCTGCCCGCCTTGAAATCCCTTAAGTTTGAGTCTGTTGCCTCTTTCCATCTCCACTACTGAGCTGAATATGTTGTACTCTCCACCCTTTCCCACCAGTCCCAAGGTCCACCCTATATCAATAGATCTCCTTCTTCCAGCTTGTGGCTGGGTTGTCAGTAGAAATCCCTGGCTGGAGACAAAGTCAGGAGAGGGAGGGTAGGGCTTTTATTCCCTTGTAAGATGGCCTTGGGCTGGCTGTCACCCTTGATAGATCATTTCAAGGTGGGTGGCTCTACACACCCTTTAAAAAAAATAATTTTGGCCGGGCGCGGTGGCTCACGCCTGTAATCCCAGCACTTTGGGAGGCCGAGGCAGGCGGATCACCTGAGGTCGGGAGTTCGAGATCAGCCTGACCAACATGGAAAAACCCTGTCTCTACTAAAAATACAAAAAATTAGCCGGGCATGGTGGTGAGTGCCTGTAATTCCAGCTACTCGGGAGGCTGAGGCAGGAGAATCGCTTGAACCTGGGAGGCGGAGGTTGCGGTAAGCCAAGATCGTACCATTGCACTCCAGCCTGGGCAACAGGAGTGAAACTCCGTCTCAAAAAAAAAAAAAAAAAATTTAGGGCCAGGTGTGACGGCTCACACCTATAACACTAGCACTTTGGTTGGCCTAGGCAGGCAGATCACTTGATGTCAGGGGTTTGAGACCAGCCCGGCCAACATGGTGAAACCCCATCTCTACTAAAAATATAAAAATTAGCAAGGCGTGGTGGTGGGCGCCTGTAGTCCCAGCTACTCGAGAGGCTGAGGCAGGAGAATCGCTCGAACCCGAGAGGCAGAGGTTGCAGTGAGATCACACCACTGCACTCCAGCCTGGGCAACAGAGCGAGACTCCATCTTTAAAAATAAATAACATTTAAAAAATTAATTTTTTGTAGAGACAGGGTCTCACTATATTGCCCAGGCTGGTCTTAAACTCCTGGCCTCCAGCAGTCCTCCCACTATGACCTCCCAAAGCGCTGGGATTATACAAGTATGAGCCACTGCACCAGGCCTACACAACCCTTTTTCCATCCAGGTACCACAACCTGACCCATTTCCCCTGGGCCTAGGGTTGGGAACGGCTCCTTCTGCCGGGCTGGGGTTCAGGCACCATCCCTTCTTGCTCTTCTACATCCTGCCCAATTGGTGGCCACTCCTTCAGTCATCCTAAATGCGCGTTTCCTGCTGCAACTCAGACCTACCCACAGCCAGCCAACGGCCTGTATCAAGCCACCACAGTTTGTCACCTGGACTCGGACAAAGGAGGATCCCTTTATCTGAGTCCATCCCATCTTGCCCTGTTCCACTTCAATTCTCCTTCAGCATCCAGAACGAGTTTTCTTTCTTTTCTTTTCTTTTTTTTTTGAGATGGAATCTTGCCCGGGAAGGCCCAGGCTGGAGTGCAATGGCGGGATCTTGGCTCACTGCAACCTCCACCTTCCAGGTTCAAGCAATTATCCTGCCTCAGCCTCCTGAGTAGCTGGGATTACAGGTGTGAGCCACCACACCCGGCTCATTTTTGTATTTTTAGTAGAGACGGAGTTTTACCATGTTGGCCAGGATGGTCTCAAACTCCTAACCTCAGGTGATCTACCCGCGTCAGCCTCCCAAAGTGCTGGGATTACAGGCGTGAGCCACCCGCAGCTGGCCTAGAATGAGTATTTCTATTTGTTTATTTATTTTTGAGATGGAGTTTTGCTCTTGTTGCCCAGGCTGGAGTGCAATGGTACGATCTCAGCTCACCACAACCTCCGCCTCCTGGGTTCAAGCAATTCTCCTGCCTCAGCCTCCCGAGTAGCTGGGATTACAGGTATGTGCCACCACGCCCAGCTAATCTTTTGTATTTTTAGTAGAGACAGGGTTTCTCCATTTTGGTCAGGCTGGTCTTGAACTCCCGACCTCAGGTGATCCGCCTGCCTCAGCCTCCCAAAGTGCTGGCATTACAGGCGTGAGCTACTGTGCCCAGCCAGAACGAGTATTTTTAAACATTTAAAACTGGTCACATTGCCTCTTCTGGCAGCAAACCAAAAATCCCCTCTTCCAGCAGATCTCAATCCTCCACGGGAAGAAGTCCAATGTCCTCACGGTCTCCAGCCAGGCCTAGCACGGTGTCAGCCCTGCTGCCTGTTCCCTTTTGCTCGTCCCAGAAAGTGGATGTGGCTGGTGTAGCCTGTGGAACCCAGCCTGCTCCCCTCCACACATCCTGCGGCCTGAAATGCTCCTCCACGAACCCCTCTCTCATCCAACCTACTCCTGCCACCACTGAGCTCCCACAGGGCACACTGAATGCTGGGAAGGCCACTCCCTACCTAGCATGACTGCTGTGTTCACGGATAAGCCGCCAGTAGGAAACCATGACTCTGTGGGTCTGGGGTGGGCCCTAGGATTCTGTTTTTACCCCTCTTCCCAGGTGATTAGGAGCCAGACCTGGATGCCCTAGTTTTGTTCCCTTCACCAAGTACCTTCTCCCCAGAGCTGGTTTTTCTCCTTTGCAAAATAGCTGGCTACAGAGATTCAAGGACAGCATGTTGGTAAACCACCCAGCTGGGCCTCTGGCACACCGCAAGCACCCAATGGCACCTACTGTTACCCTATGTGGGTTATTTCCTCACCCCAGGAGGAGCTGGGAGGTGAAGACCTGCCCAAGGGCATGTGAATGGGGAATGCTGTGCCCAGGGCAGCAAGTGAGGTGACGTCCCACCCCCAGGGTGTGTTGGAGGTAAAATCCCGGGGAGCCACTGAAGGGGGAGGTAAAGTGGGAGGTGAAGGGGCCCACAGGGAGGCTGGAGGGGAGTGGCAAGCCCCGAGTCTGACCTTCAGCGTCAGCAGCAGCTGGACGGCATTGGTGAAGGGCGTGGGAGTGGGCAGGCCCAGGAGGCTGAGGGCTCGGAAGAACAGGAGATAGGAGAAAGTCCAGGCCAGAGCCAGGGCGTGGCAGGAGCTGGGCAAAAGCAGGAGGCGCACTGTGTTGGGCACAGAAGTCTCGGCCTTGGCCACTCACTCCACGAGTCCAGCCACCAATCCTCCCCCAGCTCTCCCCATTCGTTTAGAGACAGAAACACAGAAGGGCAGAGAGGACAGGAGGGTGGATGTAGGGACCGAATGAGTATGATTGAAACAGTGGGAGAAGAGGCTCAGCCACATAGAAACACACACCAACAGAGAATGAGGTTAAGAGAAGCTTCGGGTGAAGACCCTGCAATCCTCCACTTTTTCTTTATTTCCGAGGTCCAGGGCTCAAGAAGAGAGAGGTGGATATGAATGAATATGAACGGTGGCCAGGCCAGCAGACACACTGTCCACCTCTCTCCATGACATGGATGTAGCGGACTGGGACAAACACACAGGGACCAGACGCAGAAGGCAGGGGAGAAAGAAAAGCAGATGAAGGCCGGATGCGGTGGCTCACGCCTGTAATCCCAGCACTTTGGAAGGCTGAGGTGGGCAGATCACAAGGTCAGGAGTTCGAGATCAGCCTGACCAACATGGAGAAACCCCAGCTCTATTAAAAATTCAAGATTAGCCAGGCATGGTGGAGCATGCCTGTAATCCCAGCTACTTGGGAGGCTGAGGCAAGAGAATCGCTTGAACCCGGGAGGTGGAGGTTGCAGTGAGCCAAGATCGTGCCACTGAACTGCAGCCTGGGCAACAGGAGCGAAACTCCATCTCAAAAAGAAAGAAAGAAAGAAAGAAAGAAAGAAAGAAAGAAAGAAAGAAAGAAAGAAAAACAAACAAACAAACATGAAACAGAGAAATGAGCTGATCAACAAGAGACAGCTAGACATGAGGCAGAAGCTGAAAAAGACTCAAAGAGGAAACAGGTTGCTTCCCCCTCTCCCCTCCTCTCCCTCTCCTCCCTCCACCAAATTCTCACCAGGGCTGGGCCTGAATGAGGGCCCAGGTCCCGAGGATGGTGACCAGAGAATGCAAAGTGTGGGGGCCACAGGTGAACAGGGTGAGCCCCAGGCCCACAGCGGCTGCTCCCCATCTCTTCAGCCCAGGACCTGCAGGGGGAAGGGACAGCATAAGCCTGGAACCTTCCAGAGGGTCCCCCCCCTTTATTTTCCACTGGGGAGGGAGCCTGACTCACCGGCTTTCTTAAAGAGGAAGCCGATGGGGATGGAGATAAGAAGAACCACTAGATACGTCCATTCTTCAGGCGACATGGTCTGGGGGAGGGGCAGAGATTCACAGTGAGAACCCAGGAATCCAGGCCCCCTGCCTCCTCCCTCTTCGAGGATCCAGGAACCCAGCCTTCTAGACCCCAGTTTTTGAGGATGATGGAGTATGAGCCTCAGCTCCTCTCCTTTGAGAACCTAGCAACCCAGACTCCAGCCCCTTCCTCCTTGGAGGAGACAGGAATCCACCCCCAGCCCCTCCTTTGAGCGCACAGGCCTCCAGCTCTCCTGTCCTTGGAGAACCCAGGAAAGTGTGGGGATCTCCCAGCACCCAAGCCCCTCCTTTGCGAACGCAGAAATCAAAGCTACTCCCCGCACCCATACTGGGGACCCAGATTTGAAGACGCCCCTCTTTTAAAAACCCAGAAACGGCACCCCTCCCGGACCCTTCCTCTTCGACAGCCCAGGAATCTAGACCTCCGAGCCCCCTCTTCCAGCGAGGATCCAGGAACCCAGACCCCCTCTTTGGATCCCCCATCCCCCGGCCCTTGTGAAACCAGATATCCGGACCCCCCAGCCCTTCTCCTTCGAGACCACCCAGAGGAGCCCGGGTCTCCAACCTGCACCTCCTTCGGAGCTCCACACCCCTCTCCTACTGAGAACCCGGGGATCGAACACCCTCCCCTCCCCAGGCCCAGGCCCAGGCCCAGCCCCAACCCGTCCCGCGCACCCCAGCGCATCCCCGGCAGAGCCACAGGCGGTTGCGCCAGCCCCGAGTTCCAACGCGCCTCCGGGGCCGCCCCGCACCCGCCAGCCCGCAGAGACCCTGCCGCCGTGTAACCTCGCCTCGCCACTGGGCGCCGCCACCCTGGCCCACCTGAGCTGCTCGCCGGGCAGGAGGCGGCCGAGCAGTCCCAGCCCGCTTGCCGCCGCAGCTCCGGCCACGCCTCCCCCGCCCAGCGCGCCCCCGCGCCGCCTGCTCCTTCTGGGCGCCCGCCGGGCTGCGCAGATCAGGCCGGGGAAGAAGCCACGGTCAGGGCCCCGGGCGGGCAGGGAAGAAGCCCCGGAGCAGAAGCCGAGAGCGCGAGTCGGCAACGGGATTCGAGTCCAGGTCCACACTGGGATCCGAGCTCCGAGTACGTGAAGGGGCGGGCCTTCGGGCTCGGAACAAGGAGGAGCCAAAAGCTTTGGACCCGAAGGGGAACAGACGGGCTCTGGAAAGGAGGCGGGGTCTGGAGCTCGGCGTGAGGAATGAGGCGGGGTCTCCCTTCGGGTTCCTTCGGGCACAATCGGGAGCTTGAGTTCTCCGGAAGCGGGGCCACAAACTTCGGCTCACTTCGGCAATAGTCGAGAACGGAGAGCTGAGGCCACTGTGGGCGGAGCCACATGTTTCGGCTTTCTTCGGAGGTAGTCGAGTCCTTAGGGTCACTGTTCCGATGTGGGCGGGGCCACAGACTCGGCCGGATGTGGGTGGGGCCACAAGCTTCGGTTTACTTCGTAGATAGTTGGGTACAAGTGACGCTAGGATGATAGGCGGAGTCAACAGGTTCGCCAGACACCCATGAGTATTTACAAGGGGGCGGGGCGAAAGCGACTTGCCCTCAAAGGGGCGGAACCCCGAGGGCCGGCGTGCGCCTACGGGACCGGGCCAGGGTGACGATCCTCAAGTTCCCAAGTAGAGGAGAGGAAGCGGCAGAGGGAGGTGCGCTCAGTGGGGCGGAGCCAAGGTGGCCCCCGCGGGAGGAGGGCGGGGCTTCGGTCCTGCGAGGGGCGGGACCTGACTTCCCGCGGCGCTGATGGGGCGGGATGACGAAGTTGACGAGGGTGTCGGCATGAGGGGGTGGAGCAAGGAGCGCGTGGCGCGGTGCGCAGTGGGTGGCTCCACCTCGACTGCGAATTACTGTTTATGAGGTGACTCGCTGGTTCTATCGGTGGACAGTGGGACATTCTGAAGGGAGGCAAGGAGGCGGACTGAGCGCTCCCAATTGGGGTGAGCCCGCCCGAGCGGAGAGTGGACGGCGGGTGTCCAGGGGGCGGGGCTTTCGGCTGTGGGGTTCGGTCGTAGGGCGGGAACTCCCCAACTGGGGTGCGCTGGCGCTCGGAGGGGGCGGGGCCACAGGCCGCGAGGCTGCCGGGAGCCGATGACGCCCGAACGCCGAACCTATTGCGTCCGGGAGGAGGCGGGGCTACGGATTCGGCCGAGCCGAGAACACCCGAACGTCAAATTGCTGGCGTTCGAGAAGGGGGCGGGGCTGCGGATTCGGTGGAGCCGAGGACGCCCGAACGCCGAACTTCCTGTGCTCGGGAGGGGGCAGGGTTTTGTACTGTGGGAGTCTGAGAGCGAGGAGGTCCGAAAGCCGAATCACAGTCGTTCGGAAAGAGGAGGAGCGAAGGCTCGAGCGTCCGGAAGAGGGTGTGGCCTCGGCGGTGCCTTAGCCTCCAGAGCTTCTGACCGCTGACGGGAACACCCGAAGGGGGACGCCCACTTTGCAAGAGGGTGGTGCCAAAATGGACCTTTGTAAGGGGGCGTGTCGCCGCGCTTGCGGAGGTTTGTTTTTCACGCTCCAAGGCGCAATGGTAGGTACGGCAGTGCGGGCACAGAGCGGGTGCCGACCGCAGGGTCACAAGGGTAGAGCGGGACCCTGGGGGCTTGGCGAGGGGAGAGGGTCGGGGGCTTGTCTCCGGCGTCTCGTCTCCGGCGGCCGCGAGGCCTGGTGGGATCGCCCGGGGGCGGGGCCTGGCGCTCGGGCCCAGCAGGTGGTGAACGGCGGCTGAGCGAGGCCCCGCCCCCTGAGGCCTAGGGGCGGGGCTTCGCCGAGACCCCGGAGGCTTTGGGTGCGCTGCAGCGGTCCGCGGCGCGCAGCTGTTTCGGTAACTGCTTTGCCTCCCGGCTCCCGCAGGAGGATGCTGGTGGTGGAGGTGGCGAACGGCCGCTCCCTGGTGTGGGGAGCCGAGGCGGTGCAGGCCCTCCGGGAGCGCCTGGGTGTGGGGGGCCGCACGGTAGGCGCCCTGCCCCGCGGGCCCCGCCAGAACTCGCGCCTGGGCCTCCCGCTGCTGCTGATGCCCGAAGAGGCGCGGCTCTTGGCCGAGATCGGCGCCGTGACTCTGGTCAGCGCCCCGCGTCCAGACTCTCGGCACCACAGCCTGGTAAGGGGGCGGGGCTCGAACTCGGGTTCGGTGGGAGCGGGACCTGGGAGTCAAGTTTCCTGGCTTCTGAAGGGACCATAAGCTTGGAGGTTCCAGCGAAGTGTGCTTCTCAGGCCCTGACATCCTTCAAGCGCCAGCAAGAGGAGAGCTTCCAGGAGCAGAGCGCCTTGGCAGCTGAGGCCCGGGAGACCCGTCGTCAGGAGCTCCTGGAGAAGATTACGGAGGGCCAGGCTGCTAAGAAGCAGAAACTAGAACAGGCTTCAGGGGCCAGCTCAAGCCAGGAGGCCGGCTCGAGCCAGGCTGCCAAAGAGGATGAGACCAGTGATGGCCAGGCTTCGGGAGAGCAGGAGGAAGCTGGTGAGCATGGGAGGTGGAGTCCAGGGACCACGGGAAGGAGAGGAGAGATCTTTTAGGAATTTTAGCTGGGAATCCAGTGCCTGGGTCTCCCTGAGGGTGAGAAGACTTTACCCCTTGAATTTACCAAACTCTTCTCTGTACTCCCCACCAGGCCCCTCGTCTTCCCAAGCAGGACCCTCAAATGGGGTAGCCCCCTTGCCCAGATCTGCTCTCCTTGTCCAGCTGGCCACTGCCAGGCCTCGACCGGTCAAGGCCAGGCCCCTGGACTGGCGTGTCCAGTCTAAAGACTGGCCCCACGCCGGCCGCCCTGCCCACGAGCTGCGCTACAGTATCTACAGAGACCTGTGGGAGCGAGGCTTCTTCCTCAGTGCGGCTGGCAAGTTCGGAGGTGACTTCCTGGTCTATCCTGGTGAGTATGGGTTGGGGCCTCTGGTTGCTGTGCCTTTCCATACGATCCCAATGTATTCTGCGTTTTTCTTTTTTTTTTTTTTGTCTTAATAGAGGTGGGGTCTCTTGTTGCTTAGGCTGGTCCCTATTCCTGGGCTCAAGCAATCCTTCCACCTCGGCCCCCCAAAGTGCTGGAATTATAGGCCCAGCTGCATTTTTCTTTTTTGTCTCACTTTCTCTTAGCCTCTGAAATTCATAGACAGACAGGAAACATTTGGGAGCTCCCGAACTCATTGGGCAAGCAGTTTAACGACTTTTATTAAATGATTACTGTGATCCAGAAGATTCACTTAGAAGTAGTTAGACATCAGGCTGGGCGCAATGGCTCACGCCTGTAATCCCAACACTTTGGGAGGCCAAGACAGGTGGATCACCTGAGGTCAGGAGTTTGATACCAGTCTGGCCAACATGGTGAAACCCCATCTCTACTAAAAATACTAAAACTAACTGGGCGTGGTGGTGGGTGCCTGTATTTCCAGCTACTCGGGAGGCTGAAGCAGGAGAATCATGTGAACCCAGGGGGCAGAGGTTGTAGTGAGCCAAGATCGTGCCATTGCACTCCAGCCTGGGGGACAAGAGCGAGACTTTGTCTCAAAAAAAAAAAAAAAGCCTAGAAGTGGAATAGTTGTGTCCAAGAGCATCTGTTTTAGAGTATCTATAGTGATGGCTGAAATGATCTCAGATCTCCTCCCAGTGGTCGTTCCCGTGGCGTCCAGCCGTCTGCCATTGGTCACTGCTTCAGTGCCTCTCTCCTTCCCCCAGGTGACCCCCTCCGCTTCCACGCCCATTATATCGCTCAGTGCTGGGCCCCTGAGGACACCATCCCACTCCAAGACCTGGTTGCTGCTGGGCGCCTTGGAACCAGCGTCAGAAAGACCCTGCTCCTCTGTTCTCCGCAGCCTGATGGTAAGGTGGTCTACACCTCCCTGCAATGGGCCAGCCTGCAGTGAACTCCAGAGACCTAGGGGATGTGGCTGTGTCGGCAGCAAGAGCCTTTCTGGATGTTCCCCAGCTCTTCTCTGGGAGTCTAGAACATCCTCCTACCTTTCTCCGCGGTTAGTTTTTGATTCCAGGTTTTCGAACACTACATCTTTTTTATGTTCTTCCTTGTTTCAAAGCACTTATTGGCTGTGTTTTTGTAGTTACCTATTTTCACACTGTGAGCTTCCCGAGAATGGGGCCTGGGTTTGATTCATCTGTTTTCTACAGGGTTTAAGTCTCAGGAGGTCTCAATAAACTTGGTATATAAATGTTCATGATTTGAATGTTTGCGACAGTCCTGGAACCCGTGGATGGTCTCATCTGCATGTACAGGTGAGAAAAAGGCCTGGAGGAGGGGGACTGACTTGCCCAAAGTCACACACTTAGTAAATAGCAGGCCTGGCCTTTCAAAATTGGTTTTTCTGACTCCTAAATCTGCACTCTTTCTACCTCACTAAACTTCCTTTTGAAAAGATTTCTATGAAATTTCCCAGATGCATACAAACGTTATAAATAAAAATATAGGCTGGGCACGATGACCCACACCTGTAATCCCACAGAACTTTTGGAGGCCAAGGCAGGGGGATCGCTTGAGCCCAGGAGTTTGAGACCAGCTCTGGCAACATTGTAATACCCAGTCTCTACAAAAAATAATTTAAAAAAAAATTAGCCAGGGATCCCTTGAGCCTGGGAAGTTGAGGCTGCTGTGAGCTGTGATTGCACCACTGCCCTCCAGCCTGGGAGACAGAGCAAGAACCTGTCTCAAAAAATATATATATGTGTGTGTGTATATATGTAAATATACACACATGTATGTATATATATGTGTGTGTATATATATATATATTATGAAAGGAAATGAGTATTGTAATTTTAGGAGTTCAGAGCCTGGGGAGAAAGGAAGGACTCTGGAAGGCGTTCTGCTTTTTCATGGCCTGGGTAGTGGTGAATTTTTTTGATACTGTATATTTATATTTTAGACTCTTTTTTGGATGTGTTATATTCTGCAATTTTTATAAAAGCTAAAACACATGTATTTGTAAAAAATTTGCACTTATGAAATCATTTACCCATGTTTTTGCTTAAGAAAGTACTAGAACACTACCACTATTCCAATAATTACACCTTTATCTTATCAATGTGCAGTTTTATTTTGTCACGTTTATTTTGTCAGTGTAATACATTCACATGGTGAGTCTGGGCGTGGTGGCTTATGCTTGTAATCCCAGCACTTTGGGAGACCAAGGCGGGCGGATCATGAGGTCAGGAGTTCCAGAGCATCCTGGCCAACATGGCCCGCCTCTATGAAAAATACAAAAATTAGCCGGGCGTGGTGGCGGGCGCCTGTAATCCTAGCTACTCCGGAGGCTGAGGCAGGAGAATCACTTGAATCTGGGAGGTGGAGGTTGCAGTGAGCCAAGGTCACGCCACTGCACTCCAGTCTGGGCGACAGAGCTAGACACTGTCTCAAAAAAACAAAAACAAACAAAAACTTCCACATGGTAAAATTCTGGGGCTGAAAGTCTCCACCTCTAGTTCTTCCATTTCTTCCCCCCATGTTTCATTCTTTCTCTTTTTTGTGTGAATTGAGCAGCCTCTGGAACCAGAATAGGTTTAGAGAGACTCCCATCTCCCCTCTTTCTTGCCATTCCCAGTAAACAGACTTCATAGAATCTCAATTTCCTGTAAGTTTAGATTAATTTAAAATATGACACTGGGCCAGGTGTGGTGGCTCACACCTGTAATCCCAGCACTTTGGGAGGCTGAGGTGGGCAGATGAGTTTGAGATCAGCCTGGCCAATATGGTGAAACCCCATCTCTACTAAAAATACAAAAAAAAAAAATTAGCCGGGCGTGGTGGCATGCGCCTGTACTCCTAGCTACTCAGGAGCCTAAGGCAGGAGAATCACTTGAATCCGGGAGGCAGAGGTTGCAGTGAGCCAAGATCGCACTACTACACTCCAGCCTGGGCAACAAGAGCTAAACTCCATCTCAAAAAAATGAAAAGAAAAAAAATGACGCTAACCCCTGTCTGGCCAATACTCTCTTTGTGCCTGCTTCATAATTGGCTTTGTAAGTCTATTCTCCACCCTTTCTCCTCTCTACAACAAAGTACTTAGAAGTCTCATTCCCTCTGTCATGAGTCTCTCCTCTGAAAAGTTCCTCATTTAAAACTCCTGTGGCCAGATGTGGTGGCTCAGACCTGTAATCCTAGCACTTTGGGAGGCCAAGGTGGGAAGATCAGTTGAGCCGCTGAGCTCAGGAGTTTGAGACCAGCCTTGGCTGAACATAGTGAGACCTCATCTCATCTCTATTTAAAACAAACAAACAAAAAAAAACTTTTGTGACTGGTGTCCCCCCATGTTGTCAGTCAACAAATTCTATAGGTGCCATGTTCAAAGCACTGTGGATCCACAGTTAGGCCCCACCCTCCACCTTCACTGCCAGTATCTTAGAAAAACCAAACCATGGCTCATTTGATATTGATAGCTTCCTAACTCATCCCCTGCCTTCCATTCTTGCCCCTCTGTTGTCTGTTTTCAACAGAGCAGCCAGAATCATCGTTTTTTTTTTTTTTTTTTTTTTTTTTTTTTTTTTTGAGGCGGAGTCTCGCTGTCGCCCAGGCTGGAGTGCAGTGGCGCGATCTCTGCTCACTGCAAGCTCCGCCTCCCAGGTTCACGCCATTCTCCTGCCTCAGCCTCCCTAGTAGCCGGGACTACAGGCGCCCGCCACCTCACCTGGCTAATTTTTTGTATTTTTAGTAGAGACGGGGTTTCACCATGTTAGCCAGGATGGTCTCGATCTCCTGACCTTGTGATCCACCCGCCTCGGCCTCCCAAAGTGCTGGGGTTACAGGCGTGAGCCACCGCGCCCGGCCAGAATCATCATATTAAAAGATAAGTCAGACCATGTCACAGCTCTGTCTAAAACTTTCCTGGAGTTTTCCATCTCAGAGTAAAACTCAAAGGTCCTACTTTGCAGCTTCCTCATGAACTGGCCATGTGCATTCTCTTCCTTGCTTATTATTATTATTATTATTTATTTTTTTTATTTTTGAGACAGAGTCTTGCTCTGTTGCCCAGGCTGGAGTGCAGTGGCACAATCTCGGCCCACTGCAGCCTCTGCCTCCTGGGTTCAAGTGGGTTCAAGCGATTCTCCCACCTCAGCCTCCCAAGTACCTGGGATTACAGGCGCCTGCCACCACGTCAGGCTAATTTTTTGTATTTTAGTAGAGACAGGGTTTCACCATAATTGCCCAGGCTCGAACTCCTGAGCTCAGGCAATCCGCCCACCTCAGCCTCCCAAAGTGCTAGGATTATAGACATGAGTCACCGTGCCCGGCCAGCTTTGTTCCTCTTTACTGCTGGATATTCCATTGTATGGACATAACCCCATTTTATTTATCCATTCATCAGGTGATTGGCATTTGTTTCTAGTTAAGGACAAGGTTTTGGTTTTGGTTTTTGTTTTATTTACCCTTGTTCATGCAGTATCCCCAGGTCCAAGAACAGTTCCTGGCACACAGCAGTCAATACATTGTTGCTAAATAAATGAGTGGCTTAAACTATAATTTTTAAATCAGGGCTGAGACAATTTGGAAATTATAATTTCTCCTACATGACTTTCTAAGCATATTTTAAATAAATATACATACGTTAAGGTCATTTTTATTAATGAAAATTGTAGCATACTATGCACACTTCTGCATCTTGCTTATTGGATATGCCCAGGCTTGTCTCATTTTTGCCAACAGCTACATGGTTTTGCGTCCTATGGATGGGGCATAATTAGATTTTATTACACTTGTACAAAAGGAAAGGAATTCAGCTCCCCAAGCATGCCCAGCTGGTCCTTGGCAACCCATGATGGAAACCAAGGGTTCCTCTTATATTACCCGTGCTCCTTTCAGAGAGGAAGGGCTAGAGGGCTCCAGCCTGAGTGAGAGAGAGAGAGGAGGAAGCATGAGGGGTTTGTGGAAGAGGGCCTGGTGCCATATGACTGGACCATGCTTCTGAAGAGGATCAGGGTGAGGCCAGATCTCATCAGTTGACCCTTGAGCAACATGGGTCTGAACTGCTCGGGTCCACTTTTATGCAGATTGAAAAAAGTAAAGGTTACACAGAGCATGCCTGCCTCTCCTGCTTTGCCTTTTACCTCCTCCACCTCTGGCACCCTGAGACAGCAAGACCAAACCCTCCTCTTCTTTCTGCACCTCTGCCTACTCAGAATGAAGACAAGGATGAAGACCTTTATGATGATCCACTTCCACTTAATGAATAGTAAATATATTTTCTCTTTTTTAGAATTTTCTTAATATTTTCTTTTTTTTTTTTTTTGAGACGAAGTCTCGCTCTGTCACCCAAGCTGGAGTGCAGTGGCGCGATCTTAGCTCACTGCAAGCTCCGCCTCCCGGGTTCACGCCATTCTCCTGCCTCAGCCTCCCCGGTAGCTGGGACTACAGGCGCCTGCCACCACGCCCGGCTAATTTTTTGTATTTTTAGTAGAGATGGGGTTTCACCGTGTTAGCCAGGATGGTCTCGATCTCCTGACCTGGTGATCCGCCCGCCTTAGCCTCCCAAAGTGCTGGGGTAACAGGCATGAGCCATCACGCCCGGCCAATATTTTCTTTTCTCTAGCTTAATTCATCATAGGAATACAGAATATAATACATATAGCGTATAAAATATGTGTTAATTGACTATGTTATTGGTAAGGCTTCCAGTCAACTACGAGTAATGTTTTTTTTAAATCCTGAGACAGTGTCTTGCTCTGCCAGCTGGGCTGGGGTGCAGGGGCATGATCTTAGTTCGCTGCTGCCTCAACCTCCTTGACTCAAGCAGTCCTCCCACCACAGCCTCCCAAGTAGCTGGAACTACGGGCACACACCACCACACCCAGTTAATTTTTCTGTTTTCTGTAGAGTCTGGGTTTTGCCGTGTTGCCCAGGCTGGTCTTGAACTCCTGGGCTCAAGTGCTCTGCCCACCTCAGCTTCCCAAATCCCACCTGGGGTTACAGGTGTGAGCCACGGTGCCTGGCCTAGTAGTTAAGTTTTGGGGAAGTCAAAAGTTATATGCAGATTTTCTTTCTTGATTTTTTTTTTTTTTTTTTGAGGCAGTCTTGCTCTGTCGCCCAGGATGGAGTGCAGTGGTGCGATCTCGGCTCACTGCAATCTCCACGTCCTGGGTTCAAGCGATGCTCTTGCCTCAACCTCCTAAGTAGCTGGGATTACAGGCACCTGCCACCACGCCTGCCTAATTTTTGTATTTTTAGTAGAGACCAGGTTTTGTCATGTTGGCCAGGCTGGTCTCGAACTCCTGACCTCAGTTGATCCGCCGGCCTTGGCCTTCCACATAGTGCTGGGATTACAGGCGTGAGGCACCGCGCCCAGCCTATATGGAGGTTTTCGGCTGAGCTGGGGGTCAGTGCCCCTCGCCCCCAGACTGTACAGAGTCAGCTGTGTTAAGATATTAAGCACCTTCAGTACACAAGACTCTGTGCTGGTTTTCTTTTCTTTTTTTTTTTTTTTTACTCTAAATCATCAAACCCTATGAGGAAAGTCCTGTTACTTTCTCCCATTTAGCACTCTTGAAGAGGCTAATTTGCCTAAGATCAAGAGCTCGTCAGTGACTGCTGAGGTTCAAACGCAGATCTTTTTTAAGACTTGAGAACCTACAGGTTCAACCACCATTATAAAACCATCTCTGTAATCACGAGGCACCCGGAATTTGTGGAGCTTGGACTTCATCCTGAAGGGAGTGAAAACTTATGGAAGTTTTTTCCTTCCACGTTTCCCCCTTCCAGATGAATAATATACGCGTGTTCAAGATACAAAAATGCATAAAATTTGGCCAGGCATGGTGGCTTACACCTGTAATCCCAGCACTTGGGGAGGCTGAGGCGAGTGGATCACTTGAGCCCAGGAGTTCAAGACCAGCCTGGGCAATATGGCAAAACCCCGTCTCAAAACAACAAAACAAACAAACAAAAAACCCATAAAACTGAACAAGGTAGTTTGTAAGATATGGAAGTACAATGCAGATGACAATAATGACGATGGTAGCTACCACTAGGCGCTTTATTTATGCCACTCTCCTCAACACTGGATAGACTCTCACTTAATCCTCACAAGCTTATGAGGTAGGCGCTACCATCATTCGCCGTTTTACAGAGGAGGACGCTGAGGCACAGAGTGATTGAGAAACTTGTCGAAGGCACTGCAGCTGGCAAGTGGTGACGTGGCATTTGAATCCAGGCATCCGGATGGTGTGGATGCCGTGGAAGAGAAAGGGGCGGGTGGGACTGCTTCCTGAGGAGATAGTGACTGCCGAGGCAGCAGCGTAGGGAAGACAACTGAAGAACACGAGCTGTGGAGACAGACCATCGCATTCGGAGTGGAGAGATGGGTGTACAGACAGACAATAACCAGACTATATATAAAAAGAGAACTCTAGGTCAGGCGCGGTGGCTCACACCTGTAATCTTAGCACTTTGGGAGGCTGAGGCGGGTGGATCACTTGAGGTCAGGCGTTGGAGACCAGGAGTTCAAAACCCCGTCTCTACTAAAAATTTAAAAATTAGCCGGGCATGGTGGTGGGCGCCTGTAGTCCCAGCTTCTCGGGAGGCTGAGGCACGAGAATCGATTGAACCCGGGAAGCGGAGGTTGCAGTGAGCCGAGATCGCACCACTGCACTCCAGCCTGGGTGACGAGAGCGAAAAACTCCGTCTCAAAAATAAAATAAATTACTGATAATAGTACTAATACCCCTTAAGTGGCTATTGATAATAATAGTACCATGGGTGGGGGGGCAACTTCTCTGAGAGTGCTCTGTAAGTATGTATTGAAGATTGAGTAAATACATTTAAAATTCTTAGAACAGTATGTGGCACATAGCGTTCCAGAATGCCACATTATTGTTAGTGACAGAAATAATCTCGGCTGGGCGCGGTGGCTCACGCCTGTAATCCCAGCACTTTGGGGGGGCCACGGCGGGAGGCTCTCTCGAGGCCGGGAGTTCAAGACCAGCCTGGGCAACATGGCAAGACGCCGACTGTTAAAAAAAAAAAATGCTACCCGGGCGTCGTGGCGTGTGCCTGTAATCCCAGCTACTGGGGAGGAGGTGGGAGGATCGCTCGAGCCCGAGAGGTTGGTCGGGGCCTCAGTGAGCCGAAATCACGCCACTGCACTCCAGCCTGGGCGACGGAGCGAGACCCTGTCTCAGAAAGAAAAAGAAAAACCACCGTCCAGGGGCGGAGAAGGAAGGTTCTCCCTACTTCTCAGGTTTCCACTCCCTGGCCGGAAAAAACCTAGTCCTCCCAGGTTAGCACGCCGCTCTAGCCCAGCCTCACGTCTCCACTGCTTCTCAGCCAGCCAACGCCTCTTCTGATTGGCTCTGACGTGCGTGGTGCGTGAAAACGTCACGAGACGCCGGCGTTACTATAAGAGCGCAGCCGTGGCGCTTGCGCGCCTCTTTCTCAGTGACCGGGTGGTTTGCTTAGGTGAGGTGCGGTGGTGTGCTTTTTCTCTAGGGTTTGGGTTGGATGGTGGCCCGGGCCTTCCGAGTTTCCATGAGTAAGCTAAAGACGTTAGGAAACAGAGCAGGGTGGTTGAACGGGAGTGCAGCACGGTTGTGGGGGCAGATACTGACTATGAGAGCGTTGGAGGTTATTCTCGCGAGATCGGATCTGGGCTCCGCGAGGTTTTGGCGTAGTTGTGGGACTGCGCAGGCGCCGTTTGGAGCCCTTACGCTCACACTTCTCTCCCGCGCAGGCGCAGACGGGGAAGCGGAGCCAACATGCCAGTGGCCCGGAGCTGGGTTTGTCGCAAAACTTATGTGACCCCGCGGAGACCCTTCGAGAAATCTCGTCTCGACCAAGAGCTGAAGCTGATCGGTGAGTGGCCAAGGCTTCCGGGAAGTGGTTCGGCTTCCGGGAGGCGGTTAGCACGTGGATGAAGGTGCCCATGTACTCTATCTAGTCCGTCCCCTAAATTTGGTACTATTCGTGGTTTAGGAAGGTTTTGTGATTCCAAAGCTGCCAGTCTAGTTGTTGTGCCAGTACGTGGGACTACACTTGTCCACCCCCTTCTCCCCACCAGGCGAGTATGGGCTCCGGAACAAACGTGAGGTCTGGAGGGTCAAATTTACCCTGGCCAAGATCCGCAAGGCCGCCCGGGAACTGCTGACGCTTGATGAGAAGGACCCACGGCGTCTGTTCGAAGGTGCGTATGGGAGTCCACAGCAGAGGGATGGGGTGCAGGGCTTGTGAGGTTCATTCTCCCTTCTGTTGCCTCTGTTCCAGTGATGAGAGTTGTGTCATTGGATAAATGGAACCAGCCTTCTAACTTTTAGTGGCACTTGTGGAGTAGGAAAAGTGTATCTGGATCAGTCTTTGCCCTGTTTCTTAGGTGTGTGGCTTTTTTGCCCAGTTATTGGACCTTCAGTTTAGTAATGACCAGAGCTAAAGATAGGCCTGGCACACCTGGGCACCCGTCTATATCTTTATATTCTGTTTATGTGGCCTGTTTGCTAGTGGATGAGAGTAGACTATGAAGTGGAATTTCTGGGCTAAGTGATGGTGATAACAGGGTTTGCACATTTGCTTGGTTTATTGTTTTTTTAATTAAGTTTTCTCGTTTTATTTAGTCTTTTGAGACGGAGTCTTGCTCTGTTGCCCAGGCTGGAGTGCCGTGGCGCCATTTCGGCTTACTGCAACCCCCGCCTCCTGGGTTCAAACAATTCTCCTATCTTAGCCTCCCAAGTAGCTGGGACTACAGACAGGCGCACGCCACCACACCTGGCTAATTTTACTTTTGAGACGGAGTCTCGCTCCATTGCCCATGCTGGAGTGTAGTTGTCGCAATCTTGGCTCACTGCAAACTCCGCCTCCAGAGTTCAAGCGATTCTCCTGTCTTAGCCTCCTAAGTAGCTGGAATCACAGGCATGGGCCACCAAGCCTGGCTAATTTTCTATTATTAGTGGAGATGGGTTTTCACCATGTTGTCCAGGCTGGTGCTTGTTTTTTTAAGCTGGTCAAGGACATTTAGGTGGTATTTAGCAAAGGCCTGAACAGGAGAGAACCTGTAAAATGTCTCAGGGAACAGCATTTCAGGTGATGACTTTAGGAGGGCATGCAGATCACATAGACTTAGGCTTACTTTACTAATTGTGGTGAAATACACATTAAATTGAAAATGTACCATCTTAACCATCTTGTTTTAAAATCTACTCTGAGATGCGGTGTTATTGGAGTGCTTTCTACAGCAGATTGGCATGACCAAGATTGGCATTTGTATATCCTGAGACGCTGCTTTTGCCTGAGTTTGGGTAGTCATGATTTATGGTGAAAAGCAGTCTCTACACCTGAGCCCTGACTGTTAGGCATGAGAGTGGTCATCCATGTTAGGCGTTGAGAAAGTCCTGGCGCATGTTTAGCTACAGATTATCACAGTTTGTCCCAGGCTTGCAGATGTTAGAAGCTTTTTCTTTAAATAGGCACAGGATCTTGCAGTGTTGACCAGGATGGTTTCCAACTCCTAACCTCAAGTGATCCATCCACCTCAGCTTTCCAAAGTGCTGGGGTTACAGGTGTAAGCCACCGCACCTGACCCTTTCATTCTTTTCGTCAATTTGTAGACCCCGTTGATAATCTCATGAAAGTGCTGGAGATCCCTCCCCCATAGATACTGATGCTGGGTGGGAATTCATCCCAGGGTTCTGTGGGGAGTGGGCTATAGCTGGTTCTGGTTTTAGGGAGGACTTTCTGGACATAGATCCTAATTGCAATGAAACTTACAGTCATGTGAGAAAGCGGTGCAGGTGTCTGAGGGTTATTTGTGGTTTTCCAAGGCAGAAGTGAAAATTCCCAAGGGGTACACAGTTGTTCAGGTGAGTACACTTTCTAGTAAATGAAGCCATCTAGCCTAGTCAGGGACAGGAAGGAGGAGCTTGGATGTTTGCTCTTTGGTGTAATCCTGCCTTGATTCAGATCCAGCCTTTCCCACTAAGATGTGTGACTAGCGAGATTCTGAGTCTCGTCTGTTAAGACTGAACAGCCGCCAACATTTGGCTGGCAGTTAATAATCAACAGATAGAGGCCAGGCGTGGTGGCTCATGCCTGTAATCCCAGCACTTTGGGAGACCGAGGTGGTCGGATCACTTGAGGTCAGGAGACCTCAAGTCAGAGACCAGCCTGGCCAACGTGGTGAAATTCCATCTCTACGAAAAATACAAAAATTAGCCGAGCATGGTGGTGTGCCTATAATCCCAGCTACTCGGGAGGCTGAGGCAGGAGAATTGATTGAACCTGGGAGACAGAGACTGCAGTGAGCCGAGATCCGCGGCACTGCACTGGGTGACAGCGAGACACAAAACAACACGAACTCCCCCCCCACCCCCCAGCACAACTGTGAAGAAATGTAGGAGTCATGTCCATTTTTCAGATCAGAAATGAAGGCATTGTAATACCTAACTGCCTTGTATGATGACAAGGACCTGTTTCCCACTGAGGTCCTCCCTGGTTTGCATTTTTAAAGCATTTTAAATTCTCTTGGTGCATTGGCCCAGTGGAGCCTCAGCAGTAGGACATGCTTTTGTTGAAGGTGTAAGATTTATTGTGCTGTTGAAAACTATTGTCTTCATACTTAAAGGTTTTGCCTGTGGCTGACTCTCCTGTTCTTTTTCAGGAGATAGATGGTTCAATAAATGTGGGCCTGAGTGCAGTGGCTCATGCCTGTAATCCCAGCACTTTGGGAGGCAGAGGCAGGCGGATCACCCGAGGTCGGGAGTTTGAGACTAGCCTGACCAAAGTGGAGAAACCCCTTAGTCTCTACTGAAAAAATACAAAATTAGCGGGGCGTGGTGGCGCATGCCTGTAATCCCAGGCTGAGGCAGGAGAATCCCAGGAGGCGGAGTTTGCAGTGAGCCGAGATCACGCCATTGCACTCCAGCCTGGGCAACGAGAGCGAAACTCTGTCTCAAAAATGATAATAAATGTGAAACATTTTTTTAAAATCATGCCTTTGTTTTGCCTAATGGTGACGATCTCACTTTGTCTCCCGGGCTGGAGCACAGTGGCATGGTCGTGGCTCACTGCAGCCTGGACCTCCTGTGCTTAAGTGATCCTCCTCAGCTCTAGTAGCTGGGACCACAATCCACCATGTACCACCATGCCCGGCTAATTTAGTTTTACTTTTTTGTTTGTTTTGGTACAAATGCGGTCTCACTGTGTTGCCGAGGCTAGTTTCAAACTTCTGGACTCAACTGATCCTCCTGCCTCAGCCTCCCAAAATATTGGGTTTATAGGCCAGGCATAAGGGACTGTGCGTGGCTTAAGTTTCCATTTTCTAATGTAAAGACAAAAAGGCGTGAAGTGTCCAAAGAGGTAAATGATCCCAAACTCATTTTCATTGCCTTTTGGACATGTTTTTGTATTTTGATATTCAGGTGTTTAAATATCCTCTGATGTTGAGTTAAAAAAGAACAAAAATTGAAGCCATAGTATGACATAGGATGCTGGAAATGCACACAGCTGGTGTTTCCATTTTGATTCTCCCTACCTGTAACTGCTCCCTACTGGGAAAACTTTGGGTCCTCACAAAGTGAGCTAGCTTTCTTTCAAACTTTGCTTGGAGGGTAACAGTGCCAGGAATATCAGAAGTGCCTGATGCATGTAGATCTATTTATGAAAGCTTGCTTGAATGGTTTGCTGTAACTAGTAAGAGCCACTTTTTATAAAAGTGCACATAAGGAAAAAAGGTTGAGGTGTTTACCCCAGTCAAGGGGCAGTTGATTTGCTGAAGGCGTGTGGGATTATAGCAGTGAGCGGGAGCCTAGGGGATGGCGTTTGCCCCCAGGGCCCTGGGGCTGTGGGCAAGGGCAGTCCAGAGTATTAGCTAGAAGCCATGGCTTTGGACAGGGTAAGGAGCAAGCCGTCCTGAGCCTGGGGTTGGAAGAAAGGTGTAGTAGGGCATCTGTTGGATATTTTATGCAGTGCATTGTTAGGTTATATACATACTAGATATATTTTTGGTGGAAAATTTTGTACAGAATAGTAAAATGAATGACATGTACTTAGCTGGAAAAATTCTAGTGTTAGAAATTACTTTTCTCTCCTTAAAAGATGTAGATACTGCTATTTATGGCACGGAATGTGATTCAATCTCACATCTGCTTAATCAGAAGAGCTTTCTGGGCTGAGGATATGAACTCTTCAGCACTGTGCTTTGTTACGGTGGTAGTAGCTTAATAGCAGCTGCATTTGGTCTTTTGCAGACTGAGTCCTTGTAAGGAGGTGATTTCCTTTACTCTTGCTAAGAATGTGGAGCGAGGGATGTATGCTCTCAGATGAGGAGGCAGGTGTATTTTGCCCTCCTGTCATCTGCAGTTTACTATGAATGATGACCTGACAACCATAGGGTAGTTTGGTTTTTTGTATTGTTTTGTTTTGTGACAGGGCCTCACTCTGTCGCCCAGGCTGGAGTGCAGTGGCCCCATCTCAGGTCACTGCAACCTCCGCCTCCTGGGTTCAAGCAGTTTTCCTTCCTCAGCCTCCTGAATAGCTGGGATTACAGGCAGTGCGCCAACGGCCTGGCTAATTTTTCGTAATCTTAGTGGAGACGGGCTTTCGCCATGTTGGCCGGGCTGGTCTCTCAAACTCCTGACCTCAAGTGATCCGTCTCGGACTCCCAAAGTGCTGGGATTACAGGTGTGAGCCACCACTCCCAGCCCGTAGGGTGGTTTTGACAGTGACATGGGTCACGGTGATGGCGCTGTACTACTTGTGCCTCACCGCCGCGGCATGGAGCTACCAAGAGGCGGAGCCAGGATTTGAACCCAAGAAGCCTGAGGTCAGAAGGCGGAATCAGTGTTTCCTCCCACTCTTCCCAGGCAACGCCCTGCTGCGGCGGCTGGTCCGCATTGGGGTGCTGGATGAGGGCAAGATGAAGCTGGATTACATCCTGGGCCTGAAGATAGAGGATTTCTTAGAGAGACGCCTGCAGACCCAGGTCTTCAAGCTGGGCTTGGCCAAGTCCATCCACCACGCTCGCGTGCTGATCCGCCAGCGCCATATCAGGTACCACCTCGGATGGGCACCTGAATCTTCCTCCACCTGCCCCTCTGATGGTTGCCCTCACTAAGCCTGCTGTCCCTATCTCCTATGCAGCCCTCGGAGGTGATGGGTGTGAACTCACCCAGAGGGTACAGATTCACCCTTGCACACAGCTCACCAGGGAGCTGGGGCAGCCTCTTGCCCCAATAGCCCAGCGCAAGGGTCACTGCGGCTCTAGCCGTACACCTTGTGAAGGCCTCTGCCAGGCATGTGGGCAGCTGGACAGGTAACAGCTCTTGGTGTCCCCAGTGGAGGGAGAGAACCAGCCTCACCTCGCTTGGGTGGTGGGTTCAGCTGTCTCCTGGCTCGCTTGTGAAGTTGATTCCAGACCCCGATCCATGACTGCGTTCTGGGTACTCAGTGTGCCCTTTCTGTAATGTGGCACCATTGAGGGGGAGGAGCTGTACAGAAAGAGGGCAAGATGTTTGCGTTTAGAATCTTCGCCCCAGCCCTTCACTAACCCTGTGAGCCGTAGGCAGAGCCTTGTGTGTCAATGCTTTCGTCGGAGACGTAGCCTCGGGTTGCTGTGTTATTGTGGGCATTGCGGCTGCACGTGGTAATACAGCTCAGTGTCAGGTGTGGGGTTCACGATATTTCAGACTCGGAACTTGGGGGCTCTCACATGGCCATCTCATTTGCTTTGTGGTCTTAGGTGGGATACTTTCAGATTTCTCCTATAAAATGGGGTTGAGAAAGTCATCTGAAGCATTTTTGGGGATTAAGGTGATACCCTAAAACCCCGGAGGGCGCACGTAGGATCAGGTGCACCCTTCCTGCAGCGCCTTGGTGTCTGCAGCCGTGGCGGCCTCACGGGGTGGGTGGAGAGGAAAGAGTGGTGCGGTAGCTGGGGTTAGCGTCCGTTTCTCCTCCAGTCCACCTCACCTTGTCGCTGCTTCCAGGGTCCGCAAGCAGGTGGTGAACATCCCGTCCTTCATTGTCCGCCTGGATTCCCAGAAGCACATTGACTTCTCTCTGCGCTCTCCCTACGGGGGTGGCCGCCCGGGCCGCGTGAAGAGGAAGAATGCCAAGAAGGGCCAGGGTGGGGCTGGGGCTGGAGACGACGAGGAGGAGGATTAAGTCCACCTGTCCCTCCTGGGCTGCTGGATTGTCTCGTTTTCCTGCCAAATAAACAGGATCAGCGCTTTACAATTGGTGTGTGGGGGTCTCTCATCCTTGACTCTTTCCCCTGCTCTAAACATGCAGCCTTCCCTGGGAGGCTCACTCACTTGGGAGTGCCTACCAGCTAGTGGTCCCTGGCCTCTCAGTACTATTCTACAGTAGTGAACACACATCTTTACCAGAAACTTCTGTCATCAGGGGAGAGACGAGTGGTATTTTTGGAAAAACTGTGTCAAAACCAGAAGGAAATTCCAAGTAAGCCGGTGTTTGCATATAGGGGTGGGAGGGAGCCGGTCATTGCTAGGCAGGGCAGGCACCGAGTGGAGGTGGGGGCCTTCCCTGCCTGCTGGCCCTGGGACCCTGACCCCGCCAGGCAAGAGACAGGTGGGATGGGAGCTGACCAGAGGCTGACGGGTTGCTGGGGAAGGTGAACTGTTGGTGATTGTTGGGGAACACTTCACAGAATTTGCTTGCTAGTTTCAAAGCTTGTGATGCGGTTGATGTTGGGCAAGTTCCCAGTTTTGTCTTCACATGTAGGGGAAGTGGGTTAGCGTAGGAGAAGGGGCGTTGAGGGAAGTCTGTTCCTCCTCTCCGCGTTCAGTGCTTCTGTGGACTCACGGTCAAGAGGTTGGCAGGCTTCCCTTTTCTCAGCCTTGTTGATCATCTGTGTTGGGAAGGGGTTTGGTTTCTGAGGAAGTGAGAAACCTGAAATTGTGCAACCCCCTCAGGCTGCAGGCTGTAGTTGATTGGGTCCTTATCTGGAGGCCTTCAGGGTTTGAGGTCAGGGCAGGGACAGTTCTGGAACACAGCTAAGTTACTGTAAACCACGTGGAGAAGTCCATTGCGGCTTACTCAAGCTAGGTGGTTGGCCCTTCCTTCCCTCAGCGTTGCTACTTGGGAAATGACGGTGGTCTTGTGTCCATGGGGCCAGCTGCTGCACCATCTGGGCTCACTGTGGTCTCCTTCCTTGGAGCGTGGGGTCTGGGCTAGTGGATGGCCGGGGCAGCGTACTCACTGGGCTCCTGGGAGCTCCCCTGGGAGGAAGAGACTGCAGTTGTCTCTGGTCTGAGAGGTGGTGGCTCACCTGGGTGTAGCTCACAATTGCGGAGCTCCACGGCAGCCTGGAGGGAGGGGAGAGTGGGAGTTGAGGTATGCGGTTCTGGGGAGAAGCCTACGGGCTTGGAAAGGAAAAGGGTCTTCAGGGCTCTGTCTACAGAGGCAGCGAGCGGGGCAACAGAGGGAGACTCCATCTCAAGAATTTGTAGAGATGGAGTCTCAATGTGTTGCCCCGGCTGATCTAAAACCCTTGGCCTCAAGCAATCCACTCGCCTCCCAAAGCGCTAGGATGACAGGTGTGAGCCACAGTGCCTGGCCTGCGTGGGTCTGTTTAATCTCCGGGCCTCTTGCTCTCCCTTTCTTGGTGATCTCCTTGGACCACATCCCTGTATCATTCTCTCTCTCGACCCTGAGCCCAGGGTCCAGAGCAGAGAACGGGATGGGGTCTGGGTAGGGGCCCCTCACTTGCAACCAGGATGTTGGGTGGGGGCGACGGGGGACCGACCTTGGGCAGGAGGCATTGTGTCCACCGCAGCATCTGTGCTGGCCCCCAGGGGGGTGGCTCGCATGGCCCAGGGGGACGTCCAGGAGGTGCTGCCCATCTAGGCGCTGGCGGGCTGGGAGCCCCTTGTCCTGGTCAATGCAGAGCTGTCAAAACCGGCCTCTGAGTGATGCTGAGGGGTCAGGCTGTCTCCAGAGAGCACCGGCGATCCCGGCTGTGCTGAGAGGGAGGGCTGAGGGCTGCCTGGACGCCCCTGAGATGAGGCGACTGGTATTTAGGGGATGCGTACTCTCTGGGGCCCGCTGGGGCCTGCAGGGAGAGCTCTTACCGGTCTCAACTCCATGCCTTCTGCCTTGTGCTTCTGGCCCAAGAGGTCGGGGTCACTGACCACCCCGTGTCCACCTAAGGCTTCCCTGGACACACAGCAGGGAGATGGGCAATGAGGGTGGGGGTTGTGGCCCTGCCTGTCACGGTCCCCAGCAGTGCAGATGAATTAGACCATTGAGCCACAGAGCCTGGAGGGCAGATGGGTGTGCTGGTATAAGGAGCCCCGGGCTCTGTGTTACAGGTCATGTGTTCTCACCAGTGGCCTTGCAGGAGGGGAACAGCCCCTTCCCCAGGGCCTCGCTCTGCTCCCCCTGAAGGATGGGGCTGAGGGGACAGCAGGCTCTGGGGGCCTTTCAGACCACATTTGAGTCAAAATTTGACTTCCCCATACTCTGCCTGCTTCCACCTCACCCAACTCTCATCCAGGGGTGACCCTTGTTCTAGCACATGAGGCTGAGGCCAGAGAGGGCAGGGCCTTAGGACACAGCCCAGTCACTGTTCTAATTCTAGAGGCAAGCCCCTTCCATGTCCTGAGCTCTGTAATGCATCTTTTCTTTCATGAGCCTTGCGATCAGGCGATGTTTATTCAGTGGTTACCACATCCAGGCATGCTGCCAGGAGGAGGGGAGTCGTGGGTGAAGCTGATAGGATTCCTGCTGGACTCACAGAGCCTGGGTTAATGACACGTTACCCATGTTTAGATAGGAGGTAATTCTGCTCCGGTTTCGACAAGTTGTAGGAAAGGAGGAAAACATGCTCATAGCAGGTGAGCAGCGTACACCTGTCATGGGAGTGAGGGGTCCTTCTGGGGGATGGAGAGACCAAGACGTGAACAGTGAGTGTGGCACGCAGAGTGTCCTCCACCAGAAACAGTGTGGGCTGTTCTCAGACCTGAGAGTGAGCCAAAGGAAGCTGGGACCTTGTCATTCAGGGGACTTGTGCACCGTGAAGATTTATTGGATGCTATGTTTAAGAAAATGGAAAATCCGGCCCGGCACGGTGGTTTGCACCTGTAATCCCAGCACTTTGGGAGGCGGAGGTGGGTGGATTATGAGGTCAGGAGTTCGAGACCAGCCTGGCCAACATGGTGAAACCCCGTCTCTACTAAAGACACAAAAAATCAGCCAGGTGTGGTGGTGGACGCCTGTAATCCCAGCTACTCGGGAGGCTGAGGCAGGAGAATCACTTGAACCCGGGAGGTGGAGGTTGCAGTGAGCCGAGATCGCGCCACAGCACTCCAGCCTAGGTGACAGAGTGAGACTCCATCTCAAAAAAAAAAAAAAAAAAACCGGGGAATCTTTAGAAAGCACAGTGGAAACAGATGTCTGTTTTTACAAGCCCATCACTGCACAGAATGCAATATGGGAGGGTTTCACTAATGGTTAACCATAACCACACTCCAGCGTGAGCCCAGCCACTAGGCAATGTGCTGATAAGGATTCTAAGTGGTTTATGTGGACTCCTCATGACCTATGACACACATACGTTTACAGTGGAGTGGAACGAGGCAGGAGGGCTTCTCTTTGTCATAGTCTACCAGCTCTGCAGAGGTGTCAGCTACATCCGGATTGGCTCAGGGAGCGGCCGTCAGAAGACTTACACGTGTTTAATAACTGAGGTTGTGTGTGTGTGGCAGGGGGTGGGTAACTGTGATGAGTTTGGTGTGGCAGAGGGGGAGCCATAGCCTGTGAAGCTGGAAAGTGTATCAGGTTTGGTCATCAACAGGCTTGAACATGAAGTACAGGAACGTGCATCTTATTTTTGGAAGATGGAGCCCCGTTGGGGGAATTTGAGCAGTGGAGGGTCACAGCCAGGTAAGATGGTCAGAAGAGGCCTCGGAAGTGATGAGAGGGATGGACTGGAGTAGGGATGGGAGCCAGTAGGGGGCCAGGAGGGAGGTTGGTGCAGTGCACAGACAGGGCGTCCTCGGTCCCCAGCTGAGCTTAGACTGTGGGGATGGACCAGCGGACATGGGTGGAGCCGGGTGAGGAGGGATGTGGGCAGAGAGGTTTGGATTTGTTCACTGTGTGTGAAGCAGAAGAGTGTGAGGAGCTTTTCCACTCTCTGCCTTGGTTGATGGGAGGAACCAGTGGGGCTGCCGCAGGACAGACGACCCGCGTGGGAGAAGGAGGCTCGGGGAGATGTTTCTAAGACTTAACTTGCTCACAGAGGGAAGCACAAGCTTCCTTCGAGCCTGGGCTTTGTTTTCCCAAACAGGTCCCTTCACTGACTTTCTTTTTTGAGACGGAGTCTCGCTCTGTCGCCCAGGCTGGAGTGCAGTGGCGCGATCTCGGCTCACTGCAAGCTCCGCCTCCCGGGTTCACGCCATTCTCCTGCCTCAGCCTCCCGAGTAGCTGGGGCTACAGGCGCCCGCCACCACGCCCGGCTAATCTTTTGTATTTTTAGTAGAGACGGGGTTTCACCGTGCTAGCCAGGATGGTCTCGATCTCCTGACCTCGTGATCCACCCGCCTCGGCCTCCCAAAGTGCTGGGATTACAGGCGTGAGCCATCGCGCCCAGCCAACTTTCCTGTTAATGAGTAGCACTCTTTTTTTCTTTCTTTTCTTTCCCCCTTTTTTTTTTTTTTTAGACATGGTCTTGCTCTGTTTCCCAGGCTGGAGTGCAGTGGCGTGACCTCAGCTCACTACAACCTCCACCTCCTGGGTTCAGGTGATTGTCCTGCTTCAGCCTCCCAAGTAGCTGGATTACAGGCACGTGCAACCACGCCTGGCTAATTTTTGTATTTTTAGTAGAGACAGAGTTTCACCATGTTGGCCAGGCTATTCTCGAACTCCTGACCTTAAATCATCCTCTTGCCTTGGCCCCCCAAAGTGTTAGGATTACAGGCATGAGCCATCATGCTCGGCCTCTTTTTTCTTTTTCTTTTTTTTTTTTTTTGTTTTTGAGACAGAGTCTTGCTCTGTCACCCAGGCTGGAGTGCAGTGGCGTGATCTCAGCTCACTGCAGCCTCCACCTCCCAGGTGCCAGCGATTCTCCTGCCTCAATCTCCCAGTTAGCTGGGATTACAGATGCGCGCCACCATATCCAGCTAAATTTTGTATTTTTTAGTAAAGACAGAGTTTTACCATGTTGGCCAGGCTGGTCTTGAACTCCTGACCTCAGGTGATCCGCCCGCTTCAGCCTCCCAAAGTGTTGGGATTACGGGCATGAGCCACCATGCTCGGCCTCTTTTTTCTTTGCTTAAAAGATGAGGCCTGTTGCCCAGGCTGGAGTGCAGTGGCACTATCATAGCTCACTGCAGCCTTGACATCGTGGCTCAGGTGATCCTCCCACCTCAGGCTCCCGAGTGGCTGGGACTACAGACGTGCACCTCCACAGCCACTACTTATTTTTGTAGCGATGTCTATCAGCTGGTGAATAGAGAAAGTGTGGTATATCCTTACAACAAAATATTATTCAACCGTAGAAAGGAATGAAGTACTCATACATGCTACATGTGTGAACCTTGATAATATACTAGATAAAAGCAGTCAGGAAAAAAAGGTCACATATGACGTTATTTCATTTATAAGAAGTATCCAGCCTGGGTGTGGTGGCTCATTGCCTGTAATCCAGCACTTTGGGAGGCCAAGGCAGGTGGATTGCCTGAGTTTAGGAGTTTGAGACCAGCCTGGGCAACATGGTGAAATACCATCTCTACCAAAAATACAAAAAATTCACCCGGCATGGTGGCATGTGCCTGTGATCCCAGCTACTTGGGAGGCTCAGGTGGCAGGATCGCTTGAGCCTGGGAGGCAGAGGTTACAGTGAGCCGAGATCACACCACTGCACTCCAACCTGGGTGACAGAGTGAGTCCCTGTCTCAAAAAAAAAAAAAAAAGGTATTCAAAGAAGGCCAATCGATAGAGGCAGAAAGTAGGTTAATTGTTGCATGGGATTAGGTGGGAGTGATTGCTTGATGTAAACTCGGTTTCCTTCTCGGTATGATAAAAATGTTTCGGAATGAGATAGAGGTGATGCTTACACCATATTGTGAATTTACTAAATGCCACAAAATAGAGTTGTATCTCAATAAAAATATATTTGTTGGGCCGGGTGCGGTGGCTCACGCCTATAATCCCAGCACTTTGGGAGGCAGGCAGATCAAGAGGTCAGGAGTTCAAGACCAGCCTGGCAAAACCCTGTCTCTACTAAAAATATAAAACTTAGCCAGGCGTGGTGGCATGTGTCTGTAATCCCAGCTACTCGGGAGGCTGAGGTAGAATGGAGCGAGACTCCGTCTCAAAAAAAAATATATATATATGTAAATATATATATGTTGGGCATAGTGGTGCACACATGTAGTCCCAGCTACTTGGGAGGCTGAGGCAGGAGAACCACTTGAACCTGGGAAGCGGAGGTTGCAGTGAGCCGAGACTGCACCATTGCACTCCTGCCTGGGCAAAAAGAGTGAAACTCCATCTCGAAAAAAAAAAAAACCACACACACACACGTAGATAAAATCAAATATTCTGTATTCCATAAATATGTACAATTATTATTTTTCAATTAAAAACTCTTAAGCTGGGCACAGTGGCTCATGCCTGTAATCCCAACACTTTGGGAGGCGGAGATGGGAGGCTCTTGAGCCCACAAGTTTGAGGCCAGTTTGGGCAACATCGTGAGATCCCATTGCTACAAAAAAATTTAAAATATATTTTTAAAAAACTCTAATACAGTAGTCCCCCTTTATCTGTAATTTTCTTTCTGTGTTTTCAGTTACCTGGTGGTCAACCATGGTCCAAAAATATTAAATAGAAAAGTTAAGGAATCATAAGTTTTTTTTTTTTTTTTTTATTGATCATTCTTGGGTGTTTCTCGCAGAGGGGGATTTGGCAGGGTCATAGGACAACGGTGGAGGGAAGGTCAGCAGATAAACAAGTGAACAAAGGTCTCTGGTTTTCCTAGGCAGAGGACCCTGCAGCCTTCCGCAGTGTTTGTGTCACTGGGTACTTGAGATTAGGGAGTGGTGATGACTCTTAACGAGCATGCTGCCTTCAAGCATCTGTTCAACAAAGCACATCTTGCACCGCCCTTAATCCATTTAACCCTGAGTGGACACAGCACATGTTTCAGAGAGCACAGGGTTGGGGGTAAGGTCACAGATCAACAGGATCCCAAGGCAGAAGAATTTTTCTTAGTACAGAACAAAATGAAAAGTCTCCCATGTCTACCTCTTTCTACACAGACACCGCAACCATCCGATTTCTCAATCTTTTCCCCACCTTTCCCCCCTTTCTATTCCACAAAACCGCCATTGTCATCATGGCCCGTTCTCAATGAGCTGTTGGGTACACCTCCCAGACGGGGTGGCGGCCGGGCAGAGGGGCTCCTCACTTCCCAGTAGGGGCGGCCGGGCAGAGGCGCCCCTCACCTCCCGGATGGGGCGGCTGGCCTGGCGGGGGGCTGACCCCCCCACCTCCCTCCCGGACGGGGCGGCTGGCCGGGCGAGGGGGGAATCATAAGTTTTTAACAAATCAAAATATTTCTAAAAACCTAGAGTAGGCAGGAAAGGGGAAACAACACACAGCAGAGGAGACAAACAAAAAGGCACACCTGAACACAGTCATGCACCGCATAACGATGTTTCGCTCCACTACACATTTCATATGTGATGGTATAGCCTATGTATGTAGTAGGTTATACCACGTAGGTTTGTGTAAGTAGACTCTATGATGTTCACACGACGGTGAATTTTTTTTTTTCTTTTTTTTGAGATGGAGTCTCATTCTGTCTCCCAGGCTGGAGTGAAATGGCACGATTTTGGCTCACTGCAACCTCCGCCTCCCAGGTTCAAGCGATTCTCCTGCCTCAGCTTCCCAAGTAGCTGGGATTACAGGCATGCACCACGATGCCCGGCTAATTTTTGTATTTTTAGTAGAGACAGGGTTTCACCATGTTGAGCAGGCTGGTCTCGAATTCCCGACCTCTGGTGATCCACCCATCTTGGCCTCCCAAAGTTCTGGGATTACAGGCGTGAGCCACCACGCCTGGCCAAAATTTTTTAATGATGGCTTTCTCAGAACATATCCCTGTCATTAAGTGACATACGGTTGTAATGTCATCAGTGATTACATTAAATATAAGTGATCAAAAAGAGATTACAAGATTGGAATTTTTTTTTTTTGAGACAGAGTCTTGCTCTGTTGCCCAGGCTGTAGTGCAGTGGTGTGATCTCGGTTCACTGCAACCACTGCCTCCTGGGTTCAAGCAGTTCTCTGCCTCAGCCTCCCTAGTAGCTGGGATTACAGGTGCCTGCCACCACACCTGGCCAGTTTTTGTATTTTTAGTAGAGATGGGGTTTCACCATCTTGGCCAGGCTAGTCTTGAACTCCTGACCTTGTGATCCACCCGCCTTGGCCTCCCAAAGTGCTGGGATTACAGGCATGAACCCCCGTGCCTGGCCTGTTGTTTATATTTTATCACATTAAAAAAGCAGAAGGATGAAAAATGTATTATGCAAACACTAATCAACAGATAATTTCACCGGCTTGTTAGTTGTTTTGTTTTTTTGAGACAGGGTCTCGTCCAGGCTGAAGTGCTGTGGTGCGATCTCGGCTCATTGCAGCCTCGACCTCCTGTACCCAAGTGATCCTCCCACCTCAGCCTCTCAAGTAGCTGGGACTACAGGTGTGTGCCACCACGCCGGACTGGTTTTATTTTTTGTAGAGATGGGGCCTCACAATGCTGATCTGACTGACTCGAACTCCTGAGCTCAAGCTATCCTCCCCACTTGCCCTCCCAAAGTATTGGGATTACAGGTGTGAGCCACTGCACCTGGTTATGCTTCTTTTTTATTTTTTTTCTTTCTTTTTTTTTTTTTTTCGAGACGGAATCTCACTCTGTCGCCCAGGCTGGAGTGCAGTGGTGCGATCTCAGCTCACTGCAAGCTCTGCCTCCCGGGCTCATGCCATTCTCCTGCCTCAGCCTCCTGAGTAGCTGGGACTATAGGCACTCGCCACCACGCCCGGCTAATTTTTTTGTATTTTTAGTAGAGACGGGGTTTCACCGTGTTAGCCAGGATGGTCTCGATCTCCTGACCTCATGATCCGCCCGCATCAGCCTCCCAAAGTGCTGAGATTATAGGCGTGAGCCACCGCGCCCGGCCTATTTATGCTTCTTAATTTTCCCATGTCATAAGTTCGATGTATAATATTTACATTATCATTCAGTTTAAAACATTCACTGTTTTTTTTTTTAGAGACAAGGTCTCGCTCTGTCACACAGGCTGGAGTGCAGTGGCACAGTCATAGCTCACTGCAGCCTCAGCAGCCTTAACTTCTTGTGTTCAAGGAATCCTCCCCACTCAGCCTCCTGAGTACCACACCCGGCCTTTACGTCTGTTTTTGTTTTTTGTTTTTTTGTTATTAACTCATTGATTGTTGAGAAGTCTGTTGCTTTATTTCCAAAATGGGACGATATTAGTCATCTTTGAGTCAGGTGAGTCCCACAAGTTCCCAGCGTCTCCTCATGGTCTGTGTTAGGGGTCCAGGCTGACTGGGGTTCACTGGTGTCCACTGGGGGCAGCTCCCGTGCCTTCAGCAGTCCTGAGTCTCCTTCTGCTGAGTGTGGGGTCTGCGTACCCCCCGGGCTAGTGGATGGCCAGAGTGGCGTAGATGCTGGGCTCAGCTGGAGGTTCCCCTTCCTGGGATGGAGGAGGCTCAGTTGCCTTCCGTCTAAGGGTCAAGCTGTGCAGCTGGGCGTAGGTCACATCCTGGGAGGCTTCAGATGCAGCAGCCTGCAGCGGGGGAGAGTGAGAGGTAAGGAACGTGGTGGGGGTGGGGGAGGCCTGGGGGCCTGGAGAGGAAAGGACTCACCTCAGTGTCCATCTGCCTGTCCTCTTCCACCTGTCTGTCCTTTGTGTCCAGGAATTCCCCAGACAGTGAGGAGGGAGGAGAGGCCATTTCTCTCCTAGGACTGGAGTGTTTCACCGGGGCATACGTCACTGCCTGGGGGTCTTCATCGTGTGGGCTCTGCTGGAGAGAGACAGTGGTGGGGGGTGTCCTTGAGTCCCCCTGACCTCCTGGAGTCAATTTTCCTCACTGTTCCCGGGGTGATCCGATTACATCCCTTTCCTGATGGAATCTCAGGGACGCCCTAAGGCCGTGGAGGGTCTGGCCGCTCCCTCCCTGTGGTTCTGGCCTCTGCTCCTCACTCTGACCTTGCCCATTTGGCTGCAGCCTCACAGGCCTTCCTGCAAGAGCTCGCTGCTGCCTGGGGGCCTTTGCACGGCTGTTTCCTCTGCCTGCAGGGGCTCGTCCATCAGAGGATCATGTGCCCCACTCTGTCCAGGCTTCTCAGATGACAGCTGAGCAGACAGCCCTCCCCTTCCATTCAGACTGGCCCCACTGCCCCACACTCTCTGCCCTTTCCCTGGTGTATGTTCCTTACAGCACGTTGCACTCCTGGACACGATGCATTTATTTGCATTTTGTCTCCCACCGTGAGGTGAGCTCAGGAGGCGGGGGCGGCTTTGCTCCCTGCTGTGTCTGCAGCTCCCATGGGGAGCCCCATCCACAGTGAGCTCCCTGGGAACACTCGCTGGATGAATGAATGAAGAGGAGCCCAGGGGACGGAGGTGGTTCATTTATTCGTCATCCTCCTGAGGCCTGGGGAGAGCTCTAACAACCAGACGGCCAAACAGAGGATGAGGAGCAGGAAGGGGACCCGGGAGGAGGCCCACGAGGTCCCAGGACAGCAGAAGAGAGTGAGGTCACAGCAGGCGGGAGGCAGCATGCTGGACAAGGAGGGGTCCACCGTGACGATGCTGAGAGCCGGGGGAAGGAGGACAGAGAAGTCCTGCAGGATTAGATCTGGCACCAGGAGGCCTTTGGTGCCTGGGACGGGGCGGGATCTCACCTGACTGTCCAGCTCCACCCTGTCCTCAGACTGTGTGTCCTTCACAGCAGCATCTGCTGGGGCAGAGCAAGGGGTTCGTCTCCTGGTTCTCTGAGACCTCTCAGTCCTGCTGGCCCCCTGCCCTGCTCCCAGATGGGGCCACCGAATGCAGGGAGGTCCCACAGTGTGGGGCAAGACCATCTTCCACGGAGCCCCAGACCCTTCCCAGCCCCTCCCTGTTGCTACTGAAATTTTGGGACTCCTGTCTCTCCAGCACCCCCATTTGTCCCCTCTCTTCCTCTTACAGAGGTTTTCTTCCTGGACGTCAGCAGCTGGGCTGGACCTGGAGGAGGACATGGGAGTGTGAGGGGCAGTGTATGGGCTGTGGTGGGTGGGAGTCTGTGGTCTTTGGGGCAGAATTACCTCCTCAGCAGGCCCCTGTCCTTGGGCTCTGTCTCCGCAGCCCCTGCAGGACGCTGGAAATCAGTCTTTCTCTGGTCTGGGTGAAGATGGACAGAGTCTCAGCCCTGGGAACATTAGAACTCCCATTCTACACATGCAACTTGAGGGAAAGAAGGAAAACTAAAAATATTCCTGCATGGATGTTCCAAATATTTTATGAGATAGAAAAAAAATCCCATGAATACTGAAGTTTGTAAATGCGTATTGAAATTACGTGCCCCTGGAACCGGTTTTCTAAACTGACACCCCTGTGTGTTTGGGTTCCCTCTGGCTGGTGCCCTGAGCCCACCCTCGGTCGACCCATGGGTCCCCCGCTTCCCTACTCACCAGATGTCCTGTGTTTGCTGTGACGCTGACGTCGGAGGAGGAGGAAGAGGAGGAGGAAGAGCAGCAGGACGAAGGCCACCGAGACCCCAATCAAAACCTCCAGGTATCTTCCCAGACCTTGACATGAGGACGTCAGGAGTGGGAATGATGTCATTGATGTGAGCACCTACTGTGTGCAGGCGCGAGCCAGGTCTTTCCTTCGTGACCTCCAACCCTCACAAGCAGTCGTGCAACATGGAATTGCCACCCGTACAACCCATTTCACAGATGCACAAACTGAGGCTCAGAGCAGGGAGTCGCCTGCCCCAGGCCTCCAGCGAGGAAGCGGCAGAGCTGGGAAGGGAGCCCGGGAGTCTGACCTGCAGCCCTTGTTCCTGCACCAGAGCCGAGACCCGGAGCTGCAGGGAAAGAGCCTGACCGTCCTGAACCACGGCCCTGCTCCCCTCCCCTGCCCCAGGTCACCGTCACTGCTGCAGGTGGGACGGGACAGGCCCCTGTGGAATCGGGTCTGGGAGGTTCCCTGGGAGGCCTCCTCTCCCAGGAGGTCACAGCTGGGGGTCAGAGCTGAAAGGAACTTTCCCACCCACAGGCCTCTCTCCTTTACACTTGGAGAAACTGAGGCCCAGGCAGGGGAGGGGCCTGTCCACATCACCACCTCCAGAGGAGCCTGAACCTAGGACAGAACCCACCCCTGCCTCCCCTGGACCCCGCCCATCTCCCACTCAGAGCCCCTCACTCACCATTCTGAGGGCCTGACCCTGGGGGGTTAAGGGGCTGGTCCTCAGGACCTCCTGGGTCAGGACAGGGAGGTGAAGGCTGGGGCTGTCTTGCCCCCCACATCAGCCCGGCTCCTCCTCCTGGCTGGGCCCCAACATCTCCCTCTGCCTCGACCCCCGCCCCTCACCAGCCCAGCCTCAGAGCCCCTGGGACACAAGCCCGTCCTTGAGGGGAGGGGAGTGGGATCCTTTGGGAGACTCAGACTGCCCTGGGGGAGGCGGCGCTCCCCAAGAGGCCTCAGTGACTCACCAGGTGTGGAGGGCGGCCCTGTGGGTGGGAGGCTGGAGCCTCCAGAGTGTCCTGGAAGGAGCACGGGAGGCGGGTGAGGGGCGGGGGCCGTCCATGGAGTGCACCCTTCCACTCCCACTCTCCTGCTTCCGCCCAGTGGATTCCCTGGAACCATCTCTCTGCCCACCTGGTGCCTTCTGCATGCCAGGCAGGGGAGAACGGGTGGCCACGCCTAGGAGAACCCCTGTTGGCCTCCTCCCCTCTGAGGGCTGGGTGCCCTCTGGCTAAGCCTCCCTCACAGCCTCCCTCGGTCCATCCCAGCCGAGAGCTCTCCTGGGGGCCTGGGCCGGAGCTGAGCCTTTGAGCTCAGAGAGGACGGGGTCAGCGCCCTCACCTGAGACCATGAGTTCCAGGGGCTCACTGGGGAAAGACAGCAGGTGGGGGTTGGAGCTGCGTGAGCCGTAGCACCTGTAGGTCCCCGCGTGGGCTGAGGTCACAGGACTCATGGGGAATTCAGCCTGGTACTTATGAGCTCCGTACATTGATCTCAGACGCAGTGGGGGATGGGCTGCCCCTTCTTTGGTCAGAAGGAAAGTGTCAAAATACCCCCGTGACTGACACAGCAGGGTCACGTTCTCTCCTGAGGCCACTGTGGGGCCCGGCTGTGCTGACAGGGAGACGGTGTCATAGATCTGTCCTGGAGAGAAGAAGGATGGGTGAGGGGCTGCCCCACCTTGCTCTGAGCTGACACCTCCCCAGGCCTCTCCCTGGGACCCTCAGTGTCTCTGTCCCTGTTTTCTCTGAGTCTCCCCTCCCCCCATCCCCTGTCTCTGTCTGTCTCTCCCTCCCTTGGGACCCCCACCCCTCATCCCGGCCATCACCACCTGGGCTCCCCCGGCAGGGCCTGTGCAGAGCCTGGGTCCCTGACTGAACCCGCTGGGCTCCTCACCTGTGATCAGGATGTCCAGGGGGTCACTGGGGGCCGACCACTCGGAGGAGAGGTTGTGTGCACCATAGCACCTGTACTGGCCCCCGTAGGAGCGGCTCACAGGGCCCAGGGTGAAGTTGGCCTGGGAGAGCCCAGCCTGGGGCTGCTGGCCAGGGCGCTGGAGGAAGTCACGTTCCCCCTCCTTATACAGAACAAATCTGTCGTAGCCGACATCAGAGCCACACTGGAGGGTCAGGCTCTGCCCAGGGGCCAGGACAGGGCCCTGCAGGGTCAGGAGGGAGGGCTTCCTAGACACGCCTGGAGGGAAAGAGGAGCCAGGACTGAGAGGGCTGGTTCCTCCCACGCCCCTTCCTTCTCCCGTCCTGGCCCTGCAGGTCTCACTGTCTCTCACGCTCTGAGTCTCTGACCCCAGGGCCTCCTTCTCACCCGGGGCTGTCTTGGAGTCATTTCAGAGGAGTGGGGTCTCCCTAGCCCTGGCCACTGTGCCTGATCTTTCCTCCTCTCCCTGAGAGCTGGGACCTCACAGCAAACACACCGATGCCTTCCTGAGTCCTCCCCTTCCAGGTGAACGTGGTCAAGGGCTCCTCCTCCCATGTCAGAGCCTCCCCATGGGGTCTCCCTCATGCCTTCAGCCCGTCCTTCAACACATCACTCTGGGTCCTTTCCAGATTCAGTCACCAGCCAAACTCCCCACAACCTGTCAGCTGCCCCGAAAGTGTGTTAGACAAGGCCGTGGCTCCCTCACCTGAGGGCAGAATCTCCAGGGGGTCACTGGGGTGGGACCACACCCAGGGGGTGTTTGTATAATAGTAATAGCATGTGAACCTCCACCTGTGGCTGGGGGTCACGGGGCCCACAGGGAACAGGGCCTGGAACCCCCCACTGTGGAGCTGCTGTGAGTCCAGGGTCCGGGGGAGCTGGTGTTCTCCTTCCTTCATCAGAACAAAATGGTGATATCCCTTCTGTGAGCCACATCGGAGGGTCATATTCCCCCCTGAGGCCACCACAGGGCTGGGCAGGGCTGAGAGGGTGGGTTTGTTGTAGAATCCTAGGAGAGAAAGAGGCACCGTGTTAAATGGGGCTCCCACCTCCCACATCATCCCCAGGGCTGGGCTGTGAGAGGGAGACGCCCCTGAGAGCCGACCCCCTTCCTGAGGGCAGAGCCTGGGGCTGGGACCCCAGAGTGTCCTCTCACCTGTCATCACCAGCTCCAGGGGGTCGCTGGGCTCTGACCAGCCTGCAGAGCTGTAATAGTGGCAGCGGTATCTCCCTGCATGGTGCTGTGTCATGGATGGGATGGAGAATCTGGCCTTGTTCTTGGGTTCCAGTGGGTTATTTCTGTCCCAGGGCTCTGGGCTTCCCTCTTTATCCAGTTGGTACTCCTGGGCCTCCAGGCTCCCTTGACACCAGATGGTCACGGGGCTCCCCCAGCTGATCACAGAGCCTGGCTCAGCCCAGAGGGTGGGTTTGGGGAAGGGCCCTAGATGGAAATCAGAGGCTGGATCCCAAGACATCCCCACGCTCAGATCCCAGCTCCCAGCCCCAGGACTTCCCCATCATCCCCATCAGTCACCCAGAACTACTGTCTCCTCCCCCAGCTGCCCATGGGTGGCCCCCTGTCCCAGTGAGGAGTAGGGACCTGGGACAGCTGGGGACAGACTCACCTGCCTGCATGCGGGTCCTGGGGCCCAGACTCAGCCCTGGAAGAGAGTTCCCTGTGAGGCATTTGCCCTGAAGCCTGAGCAGGTCCCCGCCCGGGTGCCTCCTGAGCTTTTGAGGTCTCCTGATGGACCAGGGCTTGTGTGTGGGGTGGGGTTCCTCCAAGACTCGGATCTCCCCCTCCCCATCTTGAAATCTCACCAAGGCAGAGCAGGGCTGTGAGGGCGGGCGTCATGGCGTCTCCTCCCGGTGACCCGGCGCTCTGCAGAGGGATGAGCCCTCAGTGCTGGCAGGACAGAGAGACACACAGGGTGTGGCCGCTCGGAGGCTGGGTCCTTCTTGTCATGGGGTTGTCTCATCCTCAGCCCACAGGAAGAGGAACTGCCACCCCAAGAACCTGGCTCTGATTTCCCCAGGGCTGAAGTGGGGGCAGGCACCAGGCTCTCTGCAGGCATTTCAGAGAGAAATGGGGTCTCCCTGCCCCCGGGCCACTGTCTGCCTGATTTATCTTTATCTCACTGAGGACGGGGACACAGCCGCAAATAGACCTGGTGCCTTCCTGAGTCAGCCCCTTTCAGGCGAGGGTGACCGTGGGCTCCTCCTCCCTCTCAGAGCCTCCCCATGGGGTCTCCCTCCCTCCTTCAGCTCGTCCATCAGTTCAGCGTTACGGGGTCCTTACCATGGCAGTCGTCTCTCCAGCCCTGGAGATGCTTCAGGGAAGACCCAGGTCCATGCTGCAGGCAGACTCAGATCAGCAGAGACGCACCTGACACCTGGCTGTGTAGTCCAGGCTGAGCTGCGTGTGGCAGTGAGCACAGAGAAATGCAGGGTCTACCGTGGTGGCTCATGCCTGGAATCCCAGTACTTCAGGAGGCTGTGGCGGGTGATGGCTTGAGGCCAGGAGCTTCAGACAGTCCTGGGAAACAGACTGTGACCCTGTTTCTACAGAAAAGAAAAAAGTGAGCTGGGCATGGAGGCTCATGCCTGTGGTCCCAGCTACTCAGGAGGCTGAGGTGGGAGGATCACTTGGGCCCGGGAGGCGGAGGCTTCAGGGAGCTATGATCACCCCTTGGCCTTCCAGCCTGGGCGACAGAGCAAGATCCTGTCTAAAAAGGAGAAATAGAGGGGATAAAGAGAAATATATATATATATGTTTCATTGTAATCTATAATCTGATTCTGGGGAAGGTGAGCTGATTTGTATTTAATTCCTGATTATCATCTAGGGTTTATGTGACTTTGGACATGAATGTCACCTCTGAGCCTGCTGTCATGAACCCCACTCATCACAGTGGCTGTGGGGGTCAGTGGTGCCCAGGACATGGGAGGCTCAGCCATGGTGAATTTCCAGACCAGTTCAGACAGGAGGGTGGGGACGGGAGAGGATCCTGGTGCTGGGCTCCACAGTCGAGGAGGATGATTGACGCCCCCACTCAAGAGCCCACATCGGCTCCAAATACCATGAAATTCTCCTTGTGATACGTCTGAAATATGCAGATCATCACAGCCACAGGCAGAGAAAGAGGAAAAACAGTTCCTCACATTGAGACGCATCCCCTTCCATGAGCAGAGTTCAATGCTGAGTGGCCACAGGTGTCTGGGACCACCGAGCGTCATTAGGGAGGAGGAGGCTCCCACCTCCATGTGGGACAGAAGAGGAACCCCACGTCCTCCCAGGCAGGGAGGGGTCAGGGCTCTGGGTGAGGCTGGAAGCGGTGGCTCCCCCTCCCCTGTGTGTGTGGACAGGCGCTGGGGGGTCTCTGCTCACTCACTGGAGGCCACGGTCAGCGCTCAGCCCCTCCCCTGTGTGTGAGAAACAGATTCGATCCACGGTGGTCAGACATGGGCGTCTGCCCCACAGGTGAGTGTGAGGCTGGCGTTGGTCCCATCGCTGCTGGGCACAATCTTGAGCTGACACTGAGTTTGGGGGAGTGGGGCAGGAGCAGCGGCAACAATCCCCTTCATCAGGCTGATGCCTGGACAGCCGTGGGAGAAACCCTTTATGAAAGGCCAGGTGCGTGGGAGGAGCCGCCCCACAGGAATGACAACCGTATGAGGACAAAATAGACAGTTGTTGAAATGCATTAGACAGACATCGTGAAGGTGAAAAACTATATTAAATTAACGCCATTAAAAAGGAATTTATGTCTGGGCATGGTAGTTCATGCCTGTAATCCCAGCACTTTGGGAGGTGGAGGCGGGCAGATCACTTGAGGCTAGGAGTTCGAGACCAGCCTGGGTGACATGGTGAAACCCCATCTCTACTAAAAATACAAAAAATTATCTGGGCGTGGTGGTGAGTGCCTGTAATCCCAGCTACTCGGGAGGCTGAGGCAGGAGAATCTCTTGAACCTGGAAGATGGAGGCTGCTGTGTGCTGAGATTGCGCCCCTGTACTTCAGCTGGGACAACAGGAGCGAAACTGTGTCTCAAAAAAAAAAGCAATTTACTAACCATATATACCTACTATGCAAACATAACAAAATCAAAGCATAATTTAATCCAGGGCAAGACAGCTGAAATAATAAATATATACATTGGGATAAAATATTCATGAAATTTTCCAGACTGTATCATGGAAAGAACAGAAATTGAACAATAGAAAATATTGATATATACACGAAGTTGAATGAGAAGAAAGAACGTGTCTGTCACGGTTTCAGAATGAAAGAAGGAAGAAGGATGTTAGTTCATGATATGCATGAAGAGCTAATGGTTGAAATTTTTACAGAACTGAAGAGAAAACATCAGTTTATAACTAAATTGAATATCTCGATCATGGTAAAGTGAAAACCATGAGGCATTAATTTAAAATAATCATAAAACTACCAGAGAAAATGTAAATTACCCTTGAATGAATGACAAGTTCATCGGGACTGGAGTTCCAAAGAGCAAACAGCAGCCCCAGAAGATACAGGAGAAACAACCACAAGCGTTTAACTGTGAGGAGAGAGTTCCTGTGCTGGGCCTAATTATTACTATTATAATTATTTATTATTATTATTATTATTATCTTTTGAGATGCAATTTCGCTCTTGTTGCCCAGGCTGGAGTGCAATGGCGCGATCTCGGCTCACCGCAACCTGGCCTAGTTATTATTAAAGGACCGAGTTGCAGTGTCAGCTGTGGATAAATCCTAGAACATAAGGAGACTCGGGGCACTCGTGACCCGTCAGGTCAGGCGGTGGCCTTATGAGGAATAAGGAGGGCGTTTTCAGTGTCCTTTTATCAGGTACTATGATAACAACAGAGAAAGAGAGAGATTGAGACAGACAGAGAGAGACGGAGAGACAGAGAGAGATTGAGACAGAGAGAGAGAGGGAGAGGGAGACACACACACACACACACGGAGAGAGACAGAGACAGAGAAGCAGGCATCGCTTGAGCTGCAAGGCTGCAGACATGTTTGCATCTGGGCTCTTTCTGAAAGCAATACTAAACAATGTAAATCAGGGAGTGGAATAATGAACCCCAAATGGAGAAGATGAGATGCTACTGTGAATAAGTCAACAGTACATACAAAAAACGAATAAGCATAGATCTATCTGTAATCTGTGTATATACAAGTATATGCATTTCTACTAAGAATCTGAAAGAGCAAGGAAATGGATTCGCGTCTCTGGAGCCTCCAGAAAGGAATGCAGCCACGTTATGGCCTTGATTTTGTCCTAAAAGACTGTGAGATAATGAGTTTGTGTTGCTGAAGCTGCTCAATACGTGTAATTTGTTATGGCAGCAATAGCAAACCAATACTAACACAAACAGCCTTTGAAAAGAAAAATAGATGATATTTCACACTTTTATTTATTTATTTATTTATTTTATTTTATTTTGAGACGGAGCCTCGCTCTGTCACCCAGGCTGGAGTGCAGTGGCGCGATCTCGGCTCACTGCAAGCTCCGCCTGCCGGGTTCACACCATTCTCCTGGCTCAGCCTCCCGAGTAGCTGGGACTACAGGCGTCCGCCACCACGCCCGGCTAATTTTTTACTATTTTTAGTAGAGACGGGGTTTCACCGTGGTCTCGATCTCCTGACCTCGTGATCCGCCTGCCTCGGCCTCCCAAAGTGCTGCGATTACAGGCGTGAGCCACCACGCCCGGATATTTCATACTTTTAAATCAGCAATCTGTGAAGAAGAGAAAGTTATACACTTTCACTCAACCAACCACATGTCCTTAAAATTTACAAAGCATCAATTGAGACACAGTGGAGGATTTGAAGAAATATTGATCAGACTTTGATAGATTAAGTGAACAAAATATTCGTGAGGGTTGCATGGCACAAATGTTCAATCTCATGCGCAAATATGATGTTTCGATTGTTTATATATTATGTAAATTTGTATAGAAACGTTTCTGGAATATACATATAGCAACAAAGTGGGAATGCATATTTCTTTATATATATTTTTTTGAAACAAGGTCTCTCTCTGTTGCTCCATCTGAAGTACAATGGCACTATCCCAGCTCACTGCAGCCTCGACCTCCTGAGGCCTAGGTGATTCTGCCACAACCATTTCCTGAGTAGCTGGGACTACAGGATCATGCCACCTTGCCTGGCTAAATTTTTTTAATATGTATTTTTTTGTAGAGACGAGGTTTCGCTATGTTGCCCAGGCTGGTGTCAAACTCCTGGGCTCACGGGATCTGCCCACCTTGGCCTTCCAAAGTGTTGGGATTACTGGTGTGAGCCACTGTGCGAGGCCAGGAATACTTATTTATGAAAACATATTGATCAGAAATATCTATCTTTTTTTTTTTTTTGAAACGAAGTGTAGCTCTGTCGCCAGGCTGGAGTGCAGTGGCACGAACTCGGCTCACGGCAATCTCCACCTTCCGGGTTCAAGCGATTCTCCTGCCTCAGGCTTGTGAGTAGCTAGAATTACAGGCGTGCGCCGCCACACCCAGCTAATTTTTTTGTATTTTTAGTAGAGACGGGATTTCACCATATTGGCCCAGATGGTCTCGGTCTCCTGACTTCTTGATCTACCCGCCTTAGCTTCCCAAAGTGGTGGGATTACAGGTGAGAGCCACTGTGCCCAGCCGTCTCTATCATTTTTACACAGCAAAGTAAGCATCCAAACTGTTACTACAGGTAACGTTTCCTGATTAGAAGTTCAATTAAATTAGCAGCCAACAATAAGAAGACATTTAGAGAAAAAGCAATACTTTGGAAACAAATAACATTCTAAATATTCATGGGTTATAGGCTGGATGTGGTGGCTCATGCCTGTAATCCCAGCACTTTGGGAGGCTGAGGCAGGTGGATCACTTGAGGTCAGGACTTTGAGACCAGCCTGGCCAACATGGTGAAATGCTGTCTCTACTGAGAATGCAAAAATTAGCTGGGTGTGGTGGCATGCACCTGTATTTTGAATGACTCGGGAGGCTGAGACGGGAGATTCACTTGAACCCAGGAGGTGGAAGTTGCAGTGAGCCGAGATTGTGCCACTGCACTCCAGCCTGGGTGAGAGAGTAAGACTCCATCGCAAAAGCAAAAACAAATATTCATGGGTTATAGAATCACACAACATTAAATTGATAGAACATTAACGAAAAATGTCAATGAAATTATAACATATGAACGTTTGTAGGATGTAAAGTAAGAGAGTGAGAGAGAGAGAGGGAGCACAACAATTACCAAATCAAGATGGAAAGAGGCACCACTACCCATCCTACAGACATAAAAGGACTAGTGAAGCAAAACTAGGAATCTATGCTAAGATGTTTTACAACTCACATTTAATAGAAAATATCTTGAAGTATACAAACTACCAAAATTTACTCAAGAACAAATATATAGTGTAACATTTCCTATTTTTATTAAAGAAATTCAACTGGCTGGGATTGGTGGCTCACACCTTTAATTCCAGCACCTTGGGAGGCTGAGGCGGGCAGATTACCTGAGGTCAGGAATTCAAGACCTGTCTGGCCGACATGGTGAAATCCCACCTCTACTAACAATACAAAAATTAGCCAAGTGAGGTGGCGCATGCCTGTAATCCCAGCTACTCAGGAGGGTGAGGCAAGAGATCTGTTTGAACCCAGGAGGCGGAGGTTGCAGTGAGGTGAGATCACACCACTGCATTCCAGCCTAGGCGACAGAGGGAGACTCTGAAAAAAAAAAAAAAAAAAAGAAAAGAAATTCAACCTACACTCAGAAATCTTTCCATAGGGAAATCTGGCCTAAATGGGTACACTGTTGATTTCTACCAAATATTTGAGAAAGTAAGAATGACATGGAAACTCTAGCTATCATTCAGTTCTCACTAGGCTCATCGACTTCTTCATTCCAGTCCATGGGTTCTTATGGACACATCCAGCCAGTTCAGTCCAAGTTCCTTAGTGGGGCAGCAGTTTGGTGCTGTTGGTGTTGCTGGAAGCTCTTTGACCTCCTTTGGAACAGAAATATCAAACAGTGGTAGCTTGCCCCAAAGTAGAGTGGTTGATTCTGCCTTTACACAGGATACAAGATCCCTAAAAACACAATTATCTCAAGGTCCTTCAAGCGCTCAGTTCGACCCTTTGAGAAGAAGCCCAACCATGGAACAAGGAGTGCAGACCGCCTGGGCCCACGGACCTGCTCCAGCACCTGTTGGGAGAAGGAGTCCTGTATCAACCAGGCCTTTGCCATCTACCAGCCAAAAAGCAATAGAGAATCAGGAGCAGAGGTGAGCTGAAGCGCACAACGTTCCAAGGCCAGAAAATGAGCAACTCAGAAATGAAACAAGAGACAAGCAGCTCCAGGTGCTCCTTCAGCGCCAAGGAGAGGGCGTGGGGGTCATGGGGTGGCAGGGGAAGATTTGGTATTCGGCGAGATGGGCCAATGAAATTTGAGAATTTTTTTTTTTTTTTTTGGAGACGGACTCTCGCTCGGTCGCTCAGGCTGGGGTGCAGTGGCCCGATCTCGGCTCACTGCAAGCTCCGCCTCCCGGGTTCACGCCATTCTCCTGCCTCAGCCTCCCCAGTAGCTGGGACTACAGGCGCCCGCCACCACGTCAGGCTAATTTTTTTGTATTTTCAGTAGAGACGGGGTTTCACCGTGATCTCGATCTCCTGACCTCGTGATCCGCCCGCCTCGGCCTCCCAAATTGCTGGGATTACAGGCGTGAGAGAAAGAGTTTGACTTTGAAAGTGCAAATGCCCAATTCAACAAGGAAGAGATGGGCAGAGAGTTTCATAATAAACTTAAATTAAAAGAAGATAAACTTGAGAAAGAGGAGAAGCCTGTAAATGGTGAAGATAAAGGAGACTCAGGAGTTGATACCCAAAACAGTGAAGGACATGCTGATGAAGAAGATGCACTTGGACCTAATTGCTTTTATGACCAAACTAAATCCTCCTTTGATAATATTTCTGGTGATGACAATAGAGAACGGAGGCCAACCTGGGCTGAAGGAAGAAGATTAAATGCTGAAACATTTGGAATCCCACTTTGTCCAAACCGTGGCCATGGGGGATACAGAGGCAGAGGGAGGTCTTGGTTTCCATGGTGGCAGAGGGCGTGGTGGCAGAAGTGGTACCTTGACCACCCCTTGAGGATTTCGCGGCGGATTCAGAGGAGGTTCCAGGGGTCGGGAGTTTGCAGATTTTGAATATAGGAAAAGCACAGCCTTTGGCCCCTAAATAGTCTGAATTGATAGTACTGCTCTCTGAAAGAAAGACAACAAAGCTGCTGCATAGTCTACAAACAAGTCTTTGAAAACAGGTGAATTTCTAGCTCTTCATGGTACTGGAAACTGATTTCAGTCTTTGCGAAGAACGAAGAAGTGAATTGGCTGTATGTTTGCCATCAGCACTGGGTTTTTGTTTTTTGTTTGTTTTTCTGTTTAATTTCAGAGATAAAATGCAGTTAGTTTTCGGGGGAGGAAGCCTTATCTTAAGACATGAGGATTAAATATATTTGGAATAGCAGAAGGTTAAATAATTTCTTATGTATAGTTAAACTAAAGCAGTACTTCAGTGGGACTTATAAGTATTGTGTCATCACTGAAAGGTTTTTTTTTTTTTTTTTTTAATCACTGAATTGTATTTGGTAATTCCAGGTTGCCTGCAGATAGGGCCGTGATACTGTGTTCTGAGCCAAGAAGGGAGGGTGTGTGTGTGTGTGTATGTGTGTGTGTGTGTGTGTGTGTGTATCTTTCTCCTCCTTTCTTTTGGGGAATCTTGTAATATTAAATAGTCTATTTCATCAATTAATTAGGGTGCTGGATGGTAGAGAATTTTGTCAGTCAACTAGGTACACACGGTAAATACTGTTTCTTAGGCAAACGTAACTTTTTTATACAGTTGTAAAATTCCATTATATTCCAATGCCAAAGAAACATTAAAAACTTTGTAAAGTTGTATAAAAAGCAACTAATTTTTTACAAAATAGATATCCTAAAGTTAGCCAAAAAAAAGAGAAAAGGGCAAAGTGATCATTTTTGGCGTAGGGTAACCCTTAGTTTCTTCCCTGGTAGTAATTTCCCACCAGGCAGATCGTCTAACCCCAAATCACCTAAAAGTGCAGGCCCAGGACGTGCTTATCTGCCCAGTGAGTCACCTGGAGGGGTGGTGATGGGGGCTGTTGATGACACGCTCCTTTCCTTTCCCAGCCCGTGTGTTCTACCTCTGAAAAGACATAGCATTTTCATTTGCAGAGCCCATTATAGAAAAATAAGAACAAAAATATTAGAAGGAAAAGACATAGCATCATTTAGTGTTCATTCATATGAATATGTATATTGTCTACAGCTATCTATATCTCTGTTTTATATCTATGTCTGTTACACCATCAGAGAGCACCTAAAGTGCAGAGTCTCATCCACAAACTGTTTCTTGCATCTACTGTAAGAGGCCATTCCGATGCTCTGTCAGCCCCAGCAGCACCCAACCACTACATGGCACGCATCCTATCTCAGATCATCCCCAGGATATCACGTGGCCCTGTTCTCATTGCCCCACTGATTTCATGGGCGTGCAGGTCCCTCGATCTGAGATTAAGTCATGAGATGCTCCATTTAAACAGGCGGGAGCCTCTGATTCCTGGCGGAGAGCCACAGTGAGCCCAGCAGAACCCATCTGAGCGCCAGCATCCAGCCCGGTCAGGAGGATTTGCTGCCCCCTCCTGGTGGAATGCGCGCCATGTCGTCAAGCGGCCACCAGATGACTCGCTCGCTGGTCCACTCAAAGGCATCACATCCAGAGCGCTCTGCTGGTCACAGGTGAGACTCTCAGCGACAGTGGTGGCTGCTTGGTCCTTGGTAAGAGGGAGTCGCTGGTGTTGGTTCCATGCATGTCCTTTTTTCTTTGATTCTTTTATTTTATTTTATTTAGAGACGGAGTCTCACTCTGTCGCCCAGGCTGGAGTGCAGTGGCGCGATCTCGGCTCACTGCAACCTCTGTCCCCTGATTCTCCTGCCTCAGCCTCCCGAGTAGCTGGGATTACAGGCACCTTCCACCACACCTGGCTAGTTTTTGTATTTGCAGTAGGGACGGGGTTTCGCCATATTGGCCAGGCTGGTCTTGAACTCCTGACGTCAGATAATCTGCCCAACTCGGCCTCCCAAAGTGCTGGGAATACAGGCGTGAGTCACTGCGCCTGGCAGCATGTCCTTTTTTTCTTGCTCCATGGCCACGACACTCACGGGCCCCTCCAGCACGCACTGGGGCTGCTGACACAGAGCTGGCTGAAGCTCACGGCATTAACCCAGTCATCAGCGGATCCTTAGGTCTCCTAACCCCAGCTGTGGGCGCTCCTGCTAGCTTCTCAGGAGAAGCTCCTGGTCGAGAGCAGACGTTTCTCCTGTCCTCCTCCAGCCTCAGTCTCCGGCAGTTTCTGTGTGCCTGGGCCTTGAGGGTGGGTTTGTCTCCGTGTTTCTGTCCCCGCTCCTCATGGCAGCTGCATTGTATTGAGTAGGTTTGTTTGATGGGGACGGGTTTTCTGTCCCTATTCCAAATTTGCATATCTCTAATGGTATTTGTCTAGGATCACAGTCCAGGATTGTTCTCTGCACTCCTCCTAGGGTAGAGGGATTTTATGATCCACCTTCTTCCGGCCACAATGAGTCATTACCTGGGATCTGAGGTGGGCAGAATTATCTGAGCCTCTTCCAATGGCTTATGTCTTTTCCTCCATGTGAGAGAAACACCTGGGTGGGAAATGAGATTTCAGGCCATGCACAGTGGAAGCTCTTTCTGTCTGATCACTAATGTGGGGTCTCCATCTTGCTCCAAATCAGTTTTGTGAATGCACGGTTGAGACCCAAGAAAAAGAGCCTTTGGGTGAGTGCACAGCACCCCTCTGTCTTAGGTCCCCAGATATATCTCAATTTGGGCTTCTTCTGGAACATGAAACTATTTACTTTGAGTTTCCTACGAAAACATAGTGCTGGCCTTAGACTTCCTATCCTGAAACCCCACGTCTATTTCCCAACCTCATGCATGGAAAAGTGCTCGAATCTCCATAGGATCAGCAAGATCTCTATAGAATCTCCATGGGCCCTCCACAGGACCTCCATAAGATCTCAATAGGTTCTCCACAGGTTCTCCATAGGTTGTCCATAGAACCTCCACAGGACCTCCATAGGATCTCAATAGAACCCCCACAAGACCTCTATAGGATCTCAATAGAACCCTCACAGGACCTCCATAGGATCTCAGTAGAACCCCCACAGGACCTCCATAGGATCTCAATAGAACCCCCACAGGACCTCCATAGGATCTCAATAGAACCCTCACAGGACCTCCATAGGATCTCAGTAGAACCCCCACAGGACCTCCATAGGATCTCAATAGAACCCTCACAGGACCTCCATAGGATCTCAGTAGAACCCCCACAGGACCTCCATAGGATCTCAATAGAACCCCCACAGGACCTCCATAGGATCTCAATAGAACCCCCACAGGACCTCCATAGGATCTCAATAGGACATCCACAGGACCTCCATAGAATCTCAATAGAACCCCCACAGGACCTCCATAGGATCTCAATAGAACCCCCACAGGACCTCCATAGGATCTCAATAGAACCCTCACAGGACCTCCATAGGATCTCAATAGAACCCCCACAGGACCTCCATAGGATCTCAATAGAACCCCCACAGGACCTCCATAGAATCTCAATAGATTCTCCATAGGACCTTTGCAGGACATCCATAGGTTCTCCGTGGATCTTCATAGGACCTCGACTGGATCTCCATAGGATCTTCACAGGGCCTCCGTAAGTTCTTCACAGGATTTCCAGAGTTGCCACAGGATCTGCCACTGCAGGGACCAGCCGGCATCCTCTACATCCCAAGATGCTGGAAATGACCACGTGGTGATAGTGGTTATGGATTTCCTACAGGAGAATGTGTGAAACCACGTTCCTGGGCAACCCTGCGGAGTCCCAATCTCCATTCAGATCCTCCAGGGGCCAGGCTGGAGGGGGTGTCTGGTGTGTCACTGTGTCTGTTCACACAGAATGGGGGCTTCTGCAGTAATAATGGGAAACCAGCCCAGAGATAGAGGCAGGGATTGGAGTTATGCTGTCATAATCCATGAAGTGCTGAGCTGAGGAAACCAGCTGAGCTTGGACTGTAGCGTTGGACAGGAGACATTGATAAAAAGGACTCTGTGGTAGAATGGTGTGGATTTGTTCATTGTGTGTGAAGAAGAAGATGCTCAGGGAATGAAAGCTCTTCCATTCTCTGACTTGGTTGACAAGAGGAACCAATAGGGCCATCACAGGAGCAATGACCCCATGTGGGAAGCAGACTGAAGGAGATGTATTAAAAACAGTTAACTAAGTCAGAGAGAGAAACAGAGCCTCCCAATACCTGGAAAGCATGGTTTGTTCCTCCCAAACTTCCTCCCTCTGACTTCTTTATTTCTCTACGTAGCAGCACCTCTTCATTTCTCCATCAAAGGCTCTGAGCTGTTTGAGTTCCTCATATATTCTGATGATCAAACCCTTGTTAGAGGAATAGGTAACAAATGTTTCTCCCTGCCTCTGTAGGTCATAACACTGTTGGTTGTTTCCTGAGCTCTGCAGAAGCTTTTTAGTTTGATACACCCATTTGTCTATTTTTGAATTCGTTTCCTATGCTTTTGAGGTCTTACTGATAGAATGTTTGCTTAGACCAATGTCTTGAAGCGTTTCCTCTGTGTTTTCTTCTATAGTTTCATAGTTTCAGGTCTTACTTTGGGTCTTATTCTGTCTTGAGTAGATTTTTGTATATCGTGAGAGACAGAGGTTGAGTTTTGTTTTTTTGCATATGGATATGCAGTTTTGCTAGCAGCATTTATTGAAGAAACTGTCCTTTACCCAATATATGTTCTTGGCATGTTTGTTGATAATCAGTTGGCTGTCAATTTGTGGATTTATTTCTAGGTTCTTTGTTCTGTTCCATTTGTCTATGTGTTTGTTTTTAAGCCAGTGCCTTACTGTTTTGGTTACTATAGCTTTGTAGTGTATTTTGAAGTCAGGTAGTGTGATGTCTCCAGCTTTGTTTTTTTTTCTCTACATTGCGTTGGCTATTTTGGGTATTTTATGGCTCTATATTAATTTTAGAATTTTTTATATTTCAGTGAAGAAAGACACTTGTATGTTGATAGGAATTACAATGAATCTGTAGATAGCTTTGGGTCCTATGGTCCTTTTTGTAAACATTTATTGTTTCAATGTGTGAACATGAGGTATCTTTCCAGTTTTTTCGTGTCCTCTTTAATTTTTCTTAGAGCTTTATAATTTTATTTGTAGAGGTTTTTACCTTGTCAGTTAAATTTATTAGCAGGTCTTTTATTGTTTGTGGCTATTATAAATGGGATTTCATTCCTGAATTCTTTTTCAGCCAGTTCTGTTCTTCAGGGTCAAGCATCATGTAAGTTCCCATGTAGGAAAGGAATCCGGAATGAACAGCAGCTGCACACAAATGCCTTTCTCTGATTTCCACCTCAGAGGGGTCCAGGAGGTGATCAGGCACATGGAGCATTGTCACATTTGGTACCAATCCCAGTGTGATCCCTAAAACACCACCTGATTGGGTTGAGCCTCATCTCTGAAATAACCAAGCCCTGTGTGATCCCTAAACCACCACCTGATTGGGTGGAACCTCATTTCTGGAATAACCAAGCCCTGTGTGATCCCTAAACCACCGCCTGATTGGATGGAACCTCATCTCTGGAATAACCAAGCCCTGTGTGATCATCCTAAACCACCACCTGATTGGGTTGAACCTCATGTCTGAAATAACCCCAAGGCCATGTTGGTGTCCTTCATCCCAGTTCTGGTGGTTTCAACATAATGAAATCAGAAAGTTATATGGCCACTTAAAAATGTCAAGTGCATGTCATGAAGTACTGGACAAGGTGTTTCCCTTTCTGAGGCCCATTCTTACCTGGGTAAGTGGCTCATTGTCTGCCTGGACTCAGGTGAGGTTGATCAGGCAGGTGGGTGTCATGTTGTGAATGAAACACAAAGTCAACCTGTGAGATCATTGCTCTGACAGGTCAAGAACCACCTGGTTTGCCATTTAGTGGCCAGTGCAGCCTGTGGCATTCACCACCACACTTCAATCTCAGCTCCCTAAATGGCATGACAAATAAAGATAGATAGGTACAAAAACAGAGATATGCTATTCCCTGGTTAAAATGGCTGTTATCTCTAAGACAAAAATTAACAGATGCTGTCAAGGATATGGAGAAAAGAAACCCTTCTACCTTGGTGGGAACGCAAGTTGGTGCAGCCAATATGGAAAACAGCATGGAGGTTCCTCAAGAAACTGAAAGTAGAACAACCACACCATCCAGTAATCGCACAGATGGGTATATTTCCAAAAGAAAGAAAATCAGTATATCAAAGAGGTGTCTGCATTGCCATGTTTATTGCAGCAGTATTCACAATAGCCAAGATATGGAATCAACCTATGTCCATCAATGGATGAATGGATAAGGAACATGTGGTCTATATACACAATGAAATAATATTCAGGCATAAAAAGAAGGAAATTGTACCATGTTCAGCAACACAGATGAATCTGGAAGACATTATGTTCAGTGAAATAAGCCAGGCCCAGAAAGAGGAGCATGTTCTCACTCACGCGGAAGCTACAAAAGTGGGCCTTGTGATGGCAGAGAGTAGAATGGTTGTCAACAGAGGCTGGCAAGGGAGTGTGGAGGACAGGGATGGAGAGAGGTTGGTGGACGGGTGCAGAAATACAGGTGGAGAGAAGGAGTAAGTTCCAGGGCCTGAGAGCTCAGTAGGGTGACCATAGTTAGCAACAGATTATTGTATTTTCCACATGAGTGAGAAATGAAGATTTGGAATGTTCCCAGCACAGAAATTATAAAAGTTGGCCAGGCATAGTGGCTTACACCTGTAATCCCAGCACTATGGAAAGCCGACGCTGGTGGATCACCTTAGGTCAGGAGTTTGAGACCAGCCAGAGCAACATGGTGAAACCCCGTCTGTAATAAAAATACAAAAATTAGCGAGGTGTGATGGTGCATGCCTGTAATCCTAGCTACTCAGGAGGCTGAGACAGGAAAACTGCTTGAACCCGGGAGGCAGAGTTTGCAGTGAGCCAAGATCCTGCCACTGCACGCCAGCTGGGCGACAGTGCAAGACTCTGTCTCAAAATAATAACCATAATAACAAATGTTCAGGGTGATGAATGTCCTGGGAACCTTTATTGGATCGTTACACATTGCATGGATGAATCAGATTACCACATGCTCCCAAGAAACATGTATGATTATTCCGTATCAAATTAAAATTATGTGATTTACCAATAACTCGAAGTGGATTGAGGGTCACCAAATCAAAGTCAGCATTCCAGTGCCCGCGTCCAGTGGTCCTTGGAGTTTCCATGTTGAACAGAACCCTCCAGTATTTCCTGATGTGCAAGCACTATTTTGGATTACATAATCTATTTCCTTTATTTATGGGGTCTATTTTGAGTTTGCCTCCCTAGAAAATAAATGCTGCCTCTTTTTGAGCTTCATGTGCACACCTTCTTTTTATACTCTTGTTTCTTTACTCAACATCATGATGGAAGGTTGGTTTGCATTGCTCTTTGTAGATTTTGTCTGTGCCTCTGCACGGCCCCATAGTATCCCTTGGTGGAATTGAACCACATATGTTTCCTTTGTTTTAGATGTATTTTTGGGTTTTATGGCTGTTGTGTAATATGAGCAGCAGTCCTGTCCATGTTGTTGTGAATGAAACCTCACCATATGAACACATTTTCCTCTAGGTTCTGTGCTCTGTGTTCATAGCTGTGTGTCTCTTCTTTTTTTTTTTCTTTTTTTTTTAGATGAAGTCTCGTACTGTCACCTGGGCCAGAGTGCAATGCCATCTTGGCTCACTGCACCAACTGGCGCCAACTTGCTTCCGTCTCCCAGGTTCAAGCAATTCTCCTGCCTCAGCCTCCTGAGTAGCTGAAATTACAGGCACCTGCCACCACGCCCAGCTAATGTTTTGTATTTTTAGTAGAGACGGGGTTTCACTATGTTGGCCAAGCTGGACTCGAATTCCTGAACTCGTGTCCGCCCGCCTCAGCCTCCCAAAGTGCTGGGATTACAGGCATGAGCCACCGCGCCCGGCCATGTTTCTTCTTTTTCACTGGGTACTTCTGATATTTTCCCCAAATTGATTCAAGTAATTTGCAGTCCTACCATGGATGTATTGGATTTCTACGTGAGCCCTACTACCTCTGACATTTGATATTGTCATTTTCATCATGTGAAATGAATACCTCAACATTGATCCCTCTCTTCAGGAATGATCGACAGATAGTCCAGAAAGCATAGGCTGTAGATTTTGTTCCAGAACCTCCTGGGATCATCAGATTGAACACATGAGGGTGGGAGACTGCCATACAAGCTGGGAAGGAGGAATCAGATGATATTGTCATGAATTCCTCAAGAGTTAGTGTTTGCTGGCCTCCAAGAGGCAAGGATCTCTGGGAACTTAAGACAGAGAAGCACTTCACACTCACCCATGAGCTCTTTTCCGTGGGTCTCAACTGGGCATTCACAACATAGATTGGAAGTAAGGTGGAGACCCAAAATTTGTGATCAGACATGATTACCTTCCACAGTGTGTGGCCTGAAATCTCACCCCCCTCTGGAGGTCCTAGATTGTCCTCCAGAGCCTTCTGGGATCATCAGATCTGTCCCTGAGGCTCCACCACGCTGAAGGGTGCATTGTCCTCTCCGCTGTTCACCTCCCGGCTGCATCTTGGGGGTTTCTCTGGCTGTGCTGAGCCTCAAATAACAGAATCCCGAGGAACACCAGGACCAAGCCTGCCATGCCCATGCGGATGAGATTCTCCACTGTGTAATCCTTGGCGTGTGAGGCTGGGGATGGTGGGCAAAGAGGTCACAGAGGTCCGGGCAGATCAACTTCACCCAGGACCCCTGGATGCCCAACCCAGGGCACCCCCCATCTGCCATTGACAGAACCTGACCCTCTGTGCCCGCCCCATAACTGTCTGACTTGTTTTGTGATGGGGTGAGGGTCTCAGCTCCTCCTGAGAATCAAAACAGAAGGGGAGAACCCTGAGCCAGCCTCTCCCCTGGGCTCTGCGTTCTTATTCTTCCAGGCCTCACGACGTGGCTTTTACGGAGTTCCTCAATAAACCCTCCCTCTCCTGCAGCAGGGCTCCCTCCAGTCTCCTCATGAAACTATTTCAGTTTTCCTGTGTTCTATGAATTTCAACGCTGCTCCTGAGCCATTTCCTCCCTCCCATGGGCTGGATTCTCCACCTTCACTCCCTTCTTTCCTAGTGTCCCAGAGCTCTCCTGGGTGCAGAGCCTGAGCTGAGCATTTGAGCTCAGAGAGGACAGGGTCAGGGCCCTCACCTGAGACCACGAGCTCCAGGGAGTCACTGGCCTGACCCTGGGGGGTTGAGGGGCTGGTCCTCAGGACCTCCTGGGTCAGGACAGGGAGGTGAAGCCTGGGGCTACCTTGCTCCCCACATCAGCCCGGCTCCTCCTCCTGGCTGGGCCCCAACATCTCTCTCTGCCTTGAACCCCCCACTCTTCACCAGCCCAGCCTCAGAGCCCCTGGGACACAAGCCCGTCCTTGAGGGGAGGGGAGTGGGATCCTTTGGGAGACTCAGACTGCCCTGGGGGAGGCCGCGCTCCCCACGAGGCCTCAGTGACTCACCAGGTGTGGAGGGCGGCCCTGTGGGTGGGAGGCTGGAGCCTCCAGAGGGTCCTGGAAGGAGCACGGGAGGCGGGTGAGGGGCGGGGGCCGTCCATGGAGTGCACCCTTCCACTCCCACTCTCCTGCTTCCGCCCAGTGGATTCCCTGGAACCATCTCTCTGCCCACCTGGTGCCTTCTGCATGCCAGGCAGGGGAGAACGGGTGGCCACGCCTAGGAGAACCCCTGTTGGCCTCCTCCCCTCTGAGGGCTGGGTGCCCTCTGGCTAAGCCTCCCTCACAGCCTCCCTCGGTCCATCCCAGCCGAGAGCTCTCCTGGGGGCCTGGGCCGGAGCTGAGCCTTTGAGCTCAGAGAAGACAGGGTCGGGGCCCTCACCTGAGACCATGAGCTCCAGGGGCTCACTGGGGTGAGACAGCAGGTGGGGGTTGGAGCTGCGTGAGCCGTAGCACCTGTAGGTCCCCGCGTGGGCTGAGGTCACAGGACTCATGGGGAATTCAGCCTGGTACTTATGAGCTCCGTACATTGATCTCAGACGCAGTGGGGGATGGGCTGCCCCTTCTTTGGTCAGAAGGAAAGTGTCAAAATAACCCCGTGACTGACACAGCAGGGTCACGTTCTCTCCTGAGGCCACTGTGGGGCCCGGCTGTGCTGACAGGGAGACGGTGTCATAGATCTGTCCTGGAGAGAAGAAGGATGGGTGAGGGGCTGCCCCACCTTGCTCTGAGCTGACACCTCCCCAGGCCTCTCCCTGGGACCCTCAGTGTCTCTGTCCCTGTTTTCTCTGAGTCTCCCCTCCCCCCATCCCCTGTCTCTGTCTGTCTCTCCCTCCCTTGGGACCCCCACCCCTCATCCCGGCCATCACCACCTGGGCTCCCCCGGCAGGGCCTGTGCAGAGCCTGGGTCCCTGACTGAACCCGCTGGGCTCCTCACCTGCCATCAGGATGTTCAGGGGGTCGCTGGGGGCCGACCACTCGGAGGAGAGGTTGTGTGCACCATAGCACCTGTACTGGCCCCCGTGGGAGGGGCTCACAGGGCCCAGGGTGAAGTTGGCCTGGGAGAGCCCAGCCTGGGGCTGCTGGCCAGGGCGCTGGAGGAAGTCACGTTCCCCCTCCTTATACAGAACAAATCTGTCGTAGCCGACATCAGAGCCACACTGGAGGGTCAGGCTCTGCCCAGGGGCCAGGACAGGGCCCTGCAGGGTCAGGAGGGAGGGCTTCCTAGACACGCCTGGAGGGAAAGAGGAGCCAGGACTGAGAGGGCTGGTTCCTCCCACGCCCCTTCCTTCTCCCGTCCTGGCCCTGCAGGTCTCACTGTCTCTCACGCTCTGAGTCTCTGACCCCAGGGCCTCCTTCTCACCCGGGGCTGTCTTGGAGTCATTTCAGAGGAGTGGGGTCTCCCTAGCCCTGGCCACTGTGCCTGATCTTTCCTCCTCTCCCTGAGAGCTGGGACCTCACAGCAAACACACCGATGCCTTCCTGAGTCCTCCCCTTCCAGGTGAACGTGGTCAAGGGCTCCTCCTCCCATGTCAGAGCCTCCCCATGGGGTCTCCCTCATGCCTTCAGCCCGTCCTTCAACACATCACTCTGGGTCCTTTCCAGATTCAGTCACCAGCCAAACTCCCCACAACCTGTCAGCTGCCCCGAAAGTGTGTTAGACAAGGCCGTGGCTCCCTCACCTGAGGGCAGAATCTCCAGGGGGTCACTGGGGTGGGACCACACCCAGGGGGTGTTTGTATAATAGTAATAGCATGTGAACCTCCACCTGTGGCTGGGGGTCACGGGGCCCACAGGGAACAGGGCCTGGAACCCCCCACTGTGGAGCTGCTGTGAGTCCAGGGTCCGGGGGAGCTGGTGTTCTCCTTCCTTCATCAGAACAAAATGGTGATATCCCTTCTGTGAGCCACATCGGAGGGTCATATTCCCCCCTGAGGCCACCACAGGGCTGGGCAGGGCTGAGAGGGTGGGTTTGTTGTAGAATCCTAGGAGAGAAAGAGGCACCGTGTTAAATGGGGCTCCCACCTCCCACATCATCCCCAGGGCTGGGCTGTGAGAGGGAGACGCCCCTGAGAGCCGACCCCCTTCCTGAGGGCAGAGCCTGGGGCTGGGACCCCAGAGTGTCCTCTCACCTGTCATCACCAGCTCCAGGGGGTCGCTGGGCTCTGACCAGCCTGCAGAGCTGTAATAGTGGCAGCGGTATCTCCCTGCATGGTGCTGTGTCATGGATGGGATGGAGAATCTGGCCTTGTTCTTGGGTTCCAGTGGGTTATTTCTGTCCCAGGGCTCTGGGCTTCCCTCTTTATCCAGTTGGTACTCCTGGGCCTCCAGGCTCCCCTGACACCAGATGGTCACGGGGCTCCCCCAGCTGATCACAGAGCCTGGCTCAGCCCAGAGGGTGGGTTTGGGGAAGGGCCCTAGATGGAAATCAGAGGCTGGATCCCAAGACATCCCCACGCTCAGATCCCAGCTCCCAGCCCCAGGACTTCCCCATCATCCCCATCAGTCACCCAGAACTACTGTCTCCTTCCCCAGCTGCCCATGGGTGGCCCCCTGTCCCAGTGAGGAGTAGGGACCTGGGACAGCTGGGGACAGACTCACCTGCCTGCACGCGGGTCCTGGGGCCCAGACTCAGCCCTGGAAGAGAGTTCCCTGTGAGGCATTTGCCCTGAAGCCTGAGCAGGTCCCCGCCCGGGTGCCTCCTGAGCTTTTGAGGTCTCCTGATGGACCAGGGCTTGTGTGTGGGGTGGGGTTCCTCCAAGACTCGGATCTCCCCCTCCCCATCTTGAAATCTCACCAAGGCAGAGCAGGGCTGTGAGGGCGGGCGTCATGGCGTCTCCTCCCGGTGACCCGGCGCTCTGCAGAGGGATGAGCCCTCAGTGCTGGCAGGACAGAGAGACACACAGGGTGTGGCCGCTCGGAGGCTGGGTCCTTCTTGTCATGGGGTTGTCTCATCCTCAGCCCACAGGAAGAGGAACTGCCACCCCAAGAACCTGGCTCTGATTTCCCCAGGGCTGAAGTGGGGGCAGGCACCAGGCTCTCTGCAGGCATTTCAGAGAGAAATGGGGTCTCCCTGCCCCCGGGCCACTGTCTGCCTGATTTATCTTTATCTCACTGAGGACGGGGACACAGCCGCAAATAGACCTGGTGCCTTCCTGAGTCAGCCCCTTTCAGGCGAGGGTGACCGTGGGCTCCTCCTCCCTCTCAGAGCCTCCCCATGGGGTCTCCCTCCCTCCTTCAGCTCGTCCATCAGTTCAGCGTTACGGGGTCCTTACCATGGCAGTCGTCTCTCCAGCCCTGGAGATGCTTCAGGGAAGACCCAGGTCCATGCTGCAGGCAGACTCAGATCAGCAGAGACGCACCTGACACCTGGCTGTGTAGTCCAGGCTGAGCTGCGTGTGGCAGTGAGCACAGAGAAATGCAGGGTCTACCGTGGTGGCTCATGCCTGGAATCCCAGTACTTCAGGAGGCTGTGGCGGGTGATGGCTTGAGGCCAGGAGCTTCAGACAGTCCTGGGAAACAGACTGTGACCCTGTTTCTACAGAAAAGAAAAAAGTGAGCTGGGCATGGAGGCTCATGCCTGTGGTCCCAGCTACTCAGGAGGCTGAGGTGGGAGGATCACTTGGGCCCGGGAGGCGGAGGCTTCAGGGAGCTATGATCACCCCTTGGCCTTCCAGCCTGGGCGACAGAGCAAGATCCTGTCTAAAAAGGAGAAATAGAGGGGATAAAGAGAAATATATATATATATGTTTCATTGTAATCTATAATCTGATTCTGGGGAAGGTGAGCTGATTTGTATTTAATTCCTGATTATCATCTAGGGTTTATGTGACTTTGGACATGAATGTCACCTCTGAGCCTGCTGTCATGAACCCCACTCATCACAGTGGCTGTGGGGGTCAGTGGTGCCCAGGACATGGGAGGCTCAGCCATGGTGAATTTCCAGACCAGTTCAGACAGGAGGGTGGGGACGGGAGAGGATCCTGGTGCTGGGCTCCACAGTCGAGGAGGATGATTGACGCCCCCACTCAAGAGCCCACATCGGCTCCAAATACCATGAAATTCTCCTTGTGATACGTCTGAAATATGCAGATCATCACAGCCACAGGCAGAGAAAGAGGAAAAACAGTTCCTCACATTGAGACGCATCCCCTTCCATGAGCAGAGTTCAATGCTGAGTGGCCACAGGTGTCTGGGACCACCGAGCGTCATTAGGGAGGAGGAGGCTCCCACCTCCATGTGGGACAGAAGAGGAACCCCACGTCCTCCCAGGCAGGGAGGGGTCAGGGCTCTGGGTGAGGCTGGAAGCGGTGGCTCCCCCTCCCCTGTGTGTGTGGACAGGCGCTGGGGGGTCTCTGCTCACTCACTGGAGGCCACGGTCAGCGCTCAGCCCCTCCCCTGTGTGTGAGAAACAGATTCGATCCACGGTGGTCAGACATGGGCGTCTGCCCCACAGGTGAGTGTGAGGCTGGCGTTGGTCCCATCGCTGCTGGGCACAATCTTGAGCTGACACTGAGTTTGGGGGAGTGGGGCAGGAGCAGCGGCAACAATCCCCTTCATCAGGCTGATGCCTGGACAGCCGTGGGAGAAACCCTTTATGAAAGGCCAGGTGCGTGGGAGGAGCCGCCCCACAGGAATGACAACCAAGATACGTGAGGAAAACACAGACAGTTGTTGAAATGCATTAGACAGACGTCGTGAAGGTGAAAAATAGTAAATTGAATTAATACCATCGAAAAGTAATTTAATAAATATATACACCTACTATGTAGCCATAAAGTGAAAAATTTGACCGGGCGTGGTAGCTCATGCCTGTAATCCCAGCACTTTGGGAGGCCGAGGTGGGCGGATGACCTGAGGTCAGGAGTTTGAGACCAGCGTGGCCAATATGGTGAAACCCTATCTCTCCTAAAAATACAAAAACAATTAGCTGGGTATGGTGGTGCACGCCTGTAATCCCAGCTACTGGGGAGGCTGAGGCAGGAGAATCGCTGGAACCCAGGAGGCGGACATTGCAGTGAGCTGAGATGGCACCACTGCACTCCAGCCTGGGCCACACAGCAAGACTCTGTCTCAAAAAAAAAAAAAAAAGAAAAAGAAAAAAAGAAAGTAAACAACTTCTAAAGCGATTCAAGCACCAGAAGGGTTCAAATGAAAATGAGACCAAAGGAAGTAAATAAAAAAGAGGAGGGAATTTGTGAGAACACATTTTAAAGGGTCCATTTTCAAGGCATGATATCCAAGTATTGGCAGCCAGTCTGCGGATGTAACAAACCGCATGGCTCATGCTCCTAGCAAATCACAATAAGTGAACAGAATGGCGGGGGGTTGTGGGGGAGGAGGCGGTCAGCCCATAAAAGGGAAAAAAATTTTGTTATTGGGAAATCGCAACTTAAGCGGGGAAGGGGACGGGGTACAACCTTATAAGGGGGATAATGAAACTCAGGCGAAGTCTGGGAAGATTGTAACCTCATAGTACTCGACCAGTGAGGAACTGGGGAAGGGATAGTTGAGTGCCAAGAGATAAATTACCTGCTGTGACTGCCCCGGCTATGCCTACCTAGCAGACATCCAATTTTGCAAGACCCTGTTAAAAGTCTCACTTTCAGGCGGGACATGGTGGCTCACGCCTGTAATCCCAGCACTTTGGGAGTCAAGGCGGGCGGATCACGAGGTCAGGAGATCGAGACCAGCCTGGCTAACACGGTGAAAACCGTCTCTACTAAAAATACAAAAAATTAGCCGGGCGTGGTGGTGGGCACCTGTAGTCCCAGCTGCTCGGGAGGCTGAGGCAGGAGAATGGCATGAACCCGGGAGGCGGAGCTTGCAGTGAGCCGAGATCGCGCCACTGCACTCCAGCCTGGGTGACAGAGCGAGACTCCATCTCAAAAAAAAAAAAAAAAAAAATTCGCAGCAGGGTCTGCTGGGGCAAAGCAAGGGGTTCGTCTCCTGGTAAGTTTCCCTGGGACCTCTCAGTACCACCTCCCCCTGTCCTGCTCCCAGTGGGACTGCTGAGATCTAGGGAGCGGGTGTGATGTCCCTGAGGTTCCACAGTATGAAGTGAACCATGTTCCCCTGAGCCCCAGACCCTTCCCAGCCCCTTCCTGTTACTAGTGAAACTGCAGGGTCCCCATCTGCACCCCAGGTGCACCCCCTCTTCCTCTTACTCACTGAGGTTTTCTTCTTGGATGTCAGCAGCTGGGCTGGACCTGGGGGAGGACACGAGAGTGTGGTGTGGTGGAGTGTGGGAGTCTGGGGTCTTTGGGCAGAATTACCTCCTCAGCAGACCCCTGTTCTTGGGCTCTGGTCCCACGGCCCCTGCAGGGTGTTGGAAATCAGCCTCTCTCTGGGCTAGGTGAAGAAGGACAAAGTCTCAGCCCTGGGAACCTTAGAACCACCCACCCAGTACATGCGACTTTAGGGGAAAAAATGAAACTTGAAAACACACCCATATATATATATATATATATATATATTTTTTTTTTTTTTTGAGACAAGGTCTCGCTCTGTCGCCCAGGCTGGAGCACAGTGGTGCGATCCCAGCTCACTGCAGCCTTGACCTCATAGGGTCAAGTGATCCTCCTGCCTCAGCGTCTTGAGTAGCTGGGACCACGGGTGCACACCACCAAACCTGGCTTATTTGCATTTTTAATTTTTTTTGTAGAGATGGGGTCTCACCACATTGCCCAGAGTCCTCTGAAACTCCTGGGCTCAAGCCATCCACCTGCCTCAGCCTTCCAAAGTACTGCGATTACAGGCATAGTTGTTTTAAATACTGGATACACTTAAAAAGGCCCGAAGACGTTGGGCCGAATGGCTCATGCCTATAATCCCAGCACTTTGGAAGGCTGAGGCGGGTGGATTGCTTGAACTCAGGAGTTTGAGACCAGCCTCGGCAACATAGTGAGACCCCCCATCTCTCCCCCGCAAAAAAATAATTAGCCTGGCGTGGTGATAGGGGCCTGTAGTCCCAGCTACTCAGGAGGCTGAGGTAGGAGGATCATTGAGGATCTTGGGAGGTGGAGGTTGCAGCGAGCCGAGATCACACCACTGCACTCCAGCCTGGGTGACAGAGCCAGATCACGTCTCAAATAAAATAAAATAAAAAGCTCAAAGAATAAATTACTTGCACATACACTCATATTTATTCTCTTCTTTCTAGATTTTTCAGCTGGGACTTTCTGGAGCTGTTTTTCTAAGCTGACTTTCTTGTGTGTTTGGTTCCCCTTTGGTTGGTGCCCTGATCCCACCCTCGGTGGGCCCACAGGTTCCCCCAGTCCCTGCTCACCCAATGTCCTGTGTTTGCTCTGACGCCGACATTGGAGGAGGAGGACGAGCGGCAGGACAAAGGCCACTGAGACCCCGGTTACAACCCCCAGGTATCTTCCCAGACCTTGCGCGTGATGACGTCGGGAATGAGGATGACATCGCTGATGTGAGCACCTACTGTGTGCAGGCGCGTGCTGGGTCTTCATGAGCTCTAACCCTCACAGCAGTCGTGCAACGTGGGATTGCCAACCCCCCAACCCATTTCACAGATGCACAAACTGAGGCTCAGAGGGGGGAATCGCCTGCCCCAGGCCCCCCAGCCTGGAAGAAGCAGGTCTGGGAGGGGAACCTGGGACCTTGTGTTTTCCCCAGCTGTCCTCCTGCTGCCCCACCAGGTGGACACCTGCTTCCTGCTCTGGGTCTTCTCATCTGACAGCAGGGGCCTGTCTTAGTGTCTCCATCTGGGGCTGTGTCCTCCTTACAACCCTCCCTTCCCCAGCACAGCAGGGCCTGGGGGAGGGAGTGGGCTGTACAGGACGGACCCTGCATTGCTCTCACCCCCAGCCCAGCCAGGTCCATCTCCTACTCTGCCAATCCCTGACCTTCCCATGCAGAGCCTTTGACCACAGACTGAAGGGCTGCACTGTCGGCTTCTCGGCTTCTGAGGTTTTGGTACTCGGACTAGCTTCCTTGCTCCTCAGCTTACAGACAGTCTATTGTGGGACCTCACCTTGTGATCGTGTGGATCAATACTCCTTAATAAACTCCCCTTTATATATACATCTATCCTGTTAGTTCTGCCCCTCTAGAGAACCCTGACTAATACATGTTTCTGAAATACGCAGCCATAGAAGGAAATGAGAAATGAAACTTCCTGACACAGGCAGGAAACCTCAGGAAGCAGCGAGGTCAGAGCTGAGTTGGCTTCTGGTGACTTGCAATGTCAGGGAATCACTAAAAGGGAGGTTTCCGCCTCTATATGAGACAGAGGAGAACCCCAGGGCCCTCACAGTCAGGGAGGGGTTGGGGTTTTGGGTGAAAGTGGGAAGTTGTGGCTCCTCGTCCCCTGTGTTTGTGGATGGCACTGGGGTATCTCTGCTCATTGACTCAGGTTTATGGTCAGCCCTGAGCCTCCCCCTCTGTGTGTGTGAAATAGATTCATTGTAGAGTTGTCAGACATGAGGTTCACACTGGACCCTCCCCTGCTGGTTACAGGCCTGAGCAGACTCACAAGACCCGGGCAGGTGGTGCCGTCCTCCTCTTTTCAAGCCTAACGCCCAGTGCAGCCCTGGTAGAAACCCTCTCTGGCAGATGAGGCACTGGGAGATGAGTGTCCAAGAATGAGAAGAAAGAGGAATCATCCTAATGATAAAAAGTGCTATGACTGGCTGCCTGCGATGGCTCACGCCTATTTTCCCAGCGCTCTGGGAGGCCGAGGTGGGCAGATCGCTGGAGCCCAGGAGTTCGAGACCAGCCTGGGCAACATGGTGAAACCCCATCTCTACTAAAAAGACAAAAATGAACTGGGTGTGGTGGTGCACACCTGTAGTTCCAGCTACTTAGGAGCCTGAGGTCGAAGATCGCTTGAGTCTGGCAGGCGGAGGTTGCAGTGAACTGGGGTGGTGCGCCACTGCACTTTAGCCTGGGTGACAGAGCAAGAACCTGTCTCAAAAACAAACACAGGCTGGGCGTGGTGGCTCACGCCTGTAATCCCAGCACTTTGGGAGGCCGAGGCAGGCAGATCATGAGGTCAAGAGATCGAGACCATCCTGGCCACACGGTGAAACCCCATCTCTACTAAAAATACAAAAAAAAAAAAAAAAAAAGATTAGCTGGTTGTGGTGGCGGGCACCTGTAGTCCCAGCTACTCGGGAGGCTAAGGTAGGAGAGTTGCTTGAACTCAGGAGACAGAGGTTGCAGTGAGCTGAGATCACGCCACTGCACTCTAGCCTGGGTGACAGAGTGAGACTCCGTCTCAAAAAATAAATAAATAAATAAATAAAAACAAAAAACAAACCAAAAAATCAAACACAAAGTGCTATGGTTGACAATCCACACTCACTAATGAGGATTATCATGGTCAAAAGGAGTACTAGGAATGTGTGAGACCCATCTTAGGTTAAACATGTTTAAATATTTGAGAAATACAGAGGACATTGAATTTCTGAGGCAGGATTATATGATTTTTTTTTCTACAGCAGAATGAATATTATATAAAATAATTAGAAGACATAGAAAAATCAGATTTAATGAACACAATCAAAATACTCATTCCTTCGAGGACAAGACACAGTGAAGCACCAATTATGAAATTAGAAAACAAAACAGAATTTTTTTTAGAGTGTAGCATAGAAACTTTATAAATTGCAATTTAAAGTACTTGGGAGAATAGAATGAGGAGGGGGAATGTCCTATCTATTGTAGGCGTCAGAAAGAAGGAAGAGAAAACGATGTCTAGCAATAGCCCAAGAGGTGAGTAGCTGAACATTTTATAGAGATGAGGAGAGACTAACTAAGGACTAGGGCGCATCCCTTTAAAATTGAAATGTATGGGCTGGACGTGGTGGCTCACGCCTGTAAGCCCAGCACTTTGGGAGGCTGAGGCGGGCGGATCACCTGAGGTCGGGAGTTTGAGACCAGCCTGACCAACATGGAGAAACCCTGTCTCTACTAAAAATACAAAAATTAGCCGGGCGTGGTGGCAGGTGCCTGTAGTCCCAGTTACTCGGGAGACTGAGGCAGGAGAATCGCTTGAACCCGGGAGGCAGAGGTTGCAGTGAGCCGAGATCACTCCACTGTACTCCAGCCTGGTGATAGAGCGAGACTCCGTCTCAAAAAACAAAACAAAACAAAACAAAAACCCTCACACAAAAACCAAGACAAATCCCCTTGACACAAGTTTATCTGTCTAACAAACCTGCACATGTATCCCTGAACTTAAAAGTGAAAAAAATAAAGGCAATATGTGTCAGATTTGTGGTGGTGTCTGCTGTTTCACCCCCATATGGAAATGTGTGCCTGAACCCCGCTTTTTTCCTTGCTTATTGTGGCTAGGATTTGTGAATGTAATTCACATTCTCAAGAATGAGCTTTTTTGGCTTCATCGAGTTTTCACGTAGCCCTCATTAGTAACTCCTCTTGTTATTTTTGTCCCCTTCCTCACACCTTCATTTGGAATAATTTGTTGTTCTTTTTCTAAATTCTTTCTGTCATTGCCAAGGTCATTAATTACGTAGGTTTTATTCTTTTCTAATTCATTCGCTCATTTGTAGTTTTCCGATTTCATCATTTAATGTGTAATATTTACATTATCATTCCAAATTTATACCATGCTCTAATTTCTGTTTCAGTTTTCTCAGCTCATTGATTTATTGAGAAGTCTGTGGCTTCATTTCAAAAATGCAAGGATATTAGTCATCTTTGACTGCAGAATCTAGTGAGTCCCAGAGTTCCCAGGATGTCCTGGTGGTCTTTGTTAGGGGTCCAGGCTGGCTGGGGTTCATTGGTGTCCACTGGGGGCAGCTCCTGTGCCTTCTGGAGTCTCTGAGTCTCCTTCTGTTGAGTATGAGATCTGGGTCCCCCGTGGGCTAGTGGATGGCCAGGGGGGCGTAGATGCTGGGTTCAGCTGGAGGTTCCCTTTCCTGGGATGGAGGAGGCTCAGTTGCCTCCCGTCTGAGGGTCAAGCTGTGCAGCTGGGCGTAGGTCACATCCTGGGGGGCTTCAGATGCAGCAGCCTGCAGCGGGGGAGAGTGAGAGGGAAGGAACGTGGTGGGGGTGGGGGAGGCCTGGGGGCCTGGAGAGGAAAGGACTCTCTCAGTGTCCATCTGTCTGTCCTCTTCTGCCTGTCTGTCCTTTGTGTCCAGGAATTCCCCAGACAGTGGGGAAGGAGGAGAGGCCATTTCTCTCCTAGGTCTGGAGTGTTTCACCGGGGCATACGTCACTGCCTGGGGGTCTTCATCGTGTGGGCTCTGCTGGAGAGAGACAGTGGTGGGGGGTGTCCTTGAGTCCCCCTGACCTCCTGGAGTCAATTTTCCTCACTGTTCCCGGGGTGATCCGATTACATCCCTTTCCTGATGGAATCTCAGGGACGCCCTAAGGCCGTGGAGGGTCTGGCCGCTCCCTCCCTGTGGTTCTGGCCTCTGCTCCTCACTCTGACCTTGCCCATTTGGCTGCAGCCTCACGGGCCTTCCCGCAAGAGCTCGCTGCTGCCTCGGGGCCTTTGCACGGCTGTTTCCTCTGCCTGCAGGGGCTCGTCCATCAGAGGATCGTGTGCCCCACTCTGTCCAGGCTTCTCAGATGACAGCTGAGCAGACAGCCCTCCCCTTCCATTCAGACTGGCCCCACTGCCCCACACTCTCTGCCCTTTCCCTGGTTTATGTTCCTTACAGCACGTTGCACTCCTGGACACGATGCATTTATTTGCATTTTGTCTCCCACCATGAGGTGAGCTCAGGAGGCGGGGGCGGCTTTGCTCCCTGCTGTGTCTGCAGCTCCCATGGGGAGCCCCATCCACAGTGAGCTCCCTGGGAACACTCGCTGGTTGAATGAATGAAGGGGAGCCTGGGGGACCGGGTCGGTTCATTTATTCCTCATCCTCCTGAGGCCTGGGGAGAGCTCTAACAACCAGACGGCCAAACAGAGGATGAGGAGCAGGAAGGGGACCCGGGAGGAGGCCCACGAGGTCCCAGGACAGCAGAAGAGAGTGAGGTCGCAGCAGGCGGGAGGCAGCGTGCTGGACAAGGAGGGGTCCACCGTGACGATGCTGAGAGCCGGGGGAAGGAGGACAGAGAAGTCCTGCTGGATTAGATCTGGCACCAGGAGGCCTTTGGTGCCCGGGACAGGGGCGGGGCCTCACCCGAGCATCCATCTCCACCCCGTCCTTGGGCTGTGTGTCCTTCACGGCAGCATCTGCTGGGCCAGAGCAAGGGGTTCATCTCCTGGGAAGGTTCTCTGAGACTTCTCCGTCCTGCCAGCCCTTGCCCTGTTCCCACTAGGGTGGCTGAGATCCAGGGAGGGACTGTGATGTCCCTGAGGTCCCACAGTGTGGGTTCAGACCGCCTCCCCCTTGGCCCCAGACCCCCCCCAGCCTGTGCTCCTGCCCCCATTGCTACAGAAACTTTGGTGCTCCCTTGCCCACCCCAGGTGCCCTCCGCTTCTAGTCACTCACTGAGAATTTCCTCCTGGATGTCAGCAACTGGGCTGGCCCTGGGGGAGGACACGGGAGTGTGAGGGGCAGTGAGGGGGCTGTGCGGGTGGATGGGAGTCTTGGGTCTTCATGCAGAATTACCTCTTCTGCAGGCCCTGGTCCTTGGGCTCTGGCCCCGCAGCCCCTGCAGGACGGTAGAAATGGGCTGGACAGAGATGGACAGAGGGTCAGGCCTGGGAGAATTCGAACCAGCTGCCCTGCACACACAACTCGAGCGGAAAGAAGGAAACCTGGAGGCCCACTGGCACTGAGGCTTTAAATACGTCGTAAGTTTAAAGTAAAATCAGAAGAATCAAGCACTTCCACACATGCTCACATTTATTCTCTTCTTTCTCGATCGATTTTTCACCTGGGAATTTCTGGAGCAGTTTTTCTAAGCTGACTTTCCTTTGTGTTTGGTTTCCCTCTGGCTGGTGCCCCGAGCCCACCCTCGGTCGGCCCACGGGTTCCCCCATTCCCTACTCACCCGATGTCCTGTGTTTGCTCTGATGCCGATGTCGGAGGAGGAGGAAGAGGAGGAGGAACAGCAGCAGGACGAAGGCCACTGAGACCCCAGTCACAACCCCCAGGTGCCTTCCCAGACCTTGAGCGTGATGACGTTGGGAATGGGGATGACGTCATTGATGTGAGCACCTTCTGTGTGCAGGCGCGAGCTAGGTCTTTCCTTCATGAGCTCCAACCCTCACAGCAGTTGTGCAACATGGGATTGCCAACCCCCCAATTCACAGAGGAGCAAACTGAGGCTCAGAGAGGGGAATCGCCTGCCCCAGGCTCCTCAGCCTGGAAGAAGCAGGTCTGGGAAGGGAACCAGGGACTTTGTGTTTTCCCCAGCTGTCCTCCTGCTGCCCCACCAGGTGCACACCTGTTTCCTATTTGACAGGAGGGGCCTGTCCTAGTGTCTCCATCTGGGGCTGGTGTCCTTCTTAGGATCCTCCCTTCCCCAGCACAGCAGGGCCTGGGAGAGGGAGTGGGTTGTGCAGGACGGACCCTGCATTGCTCTCACTCCCAGCTCAGCCAGGTCCGTTTCCCACTCTGCCAAGTTCCCATACTCCCATGCAGAACCTGTCTGGATAGGGGCTCTGTGTGTATCTGGGAAGGGCTGAGGGTAGCAGGAGGACGGTGCCCCTGCCGAGCTGTGTACAGGGCCAGGTCCCATGATTTTGCTTACGCCTCGCAGCAGTTCTGTGAGCTGGATGGGACTGAGCCAGTTTACAGCTGCTGAAACTGAGTCAGAGTAGAAAGTTGACCTGCCTGGGCCCACGGTGGGATGCGGCAGAGCTGGGAAGTGAACCCAGGAGTCTGACCCGCAGCCCTTGTTCTCTGCACCTGAGCGGAGCCCCGGAGCTGCAGGGAAAGAGCCTGAATGCCCCAAACCACGGCCCTGCTCCCCTCCCCTGCCCCAGGTCACCGTCACTGCTGCCGGTGGGACAGGACAGTCCCCTGAAGAATCCCATCAATGCAGGCCTCTCTCCTTTACACTTGGAGAAACTGAGGCCCAGGCAGGGGAAGGGCTTGTGCACTTCACCATCTCCAGAGGAGCCTGAACCTACGACAGAACCCACCCCTGCCTCCCCTGGTCTCCGCCCACCTCCCACTCAGAGCCCCTCACTCACCACTCTGGGGATCCAACCCCGTGGGGGTGAGGGGCTGGTCCTCAGGGCCTGCTGGGTCAGGACGGGGAGGTGAGGGCTGGGGCTGCCCTGCTCCCCACATCAGCCCGGCTGCTCCTCCCCCAGGCTGGGCCCCAACACCCAACATCTCTCTCTGCCTCGACGCCCGCCCCCTCACCGGCCCAGCCTCAGAGCCCCGGGGAGCCTGTGGCCCCTCCTCTGGCTCTGCCCAGCTCCCTGGAGGGAAGCTCCCGCTTGAGTCTTTGAGGGGAATAGGATCCTCGGGGAGACTCAGGGCTGCCTGGGGGGAGACCACGCTCCCTCCGAGCCCAGAGGCCTCAGTGACTCACCAGGTGTGGGGGTGGAGCCTGTAGGTGAGAGGCTGGGATCCCCAGAGGGTCCTGGGAATAAGCACAGAAAGGGAGCGAGGCGCTTTGGTGCTGAGTGAGGAAACCCGTCCCTCCACCTGCCCGTGGCTTCTCTGGAAACTTTCTTCTGCTCACCTTTCACCATTTGCATCCCAGGAGATGGGGCCAAGTGTGGGCATGCCTGGGGAGCCCCCGTTGTCCTCCTCCCCTCTGAGGGGTGAGTCTCCCTCTGGCTGAGCCCCCCTCAAACCCTCCCCCCCGCACCGCGACTCCATCCCAGCCCAGAGCTCTCCTGGGGGCAGGGCCTGAGCTGAGCCTTTGAGCTTGGACAGGACAGGGTCAGGGCCCTCACCTGAGACCACGAGCTCCTGGGGGTAACTAGGGCTGGACAGCAGGTAGGGGTAGGACCTGATTGCGCTGTAGCATCGGTAGGTTCCACCCTGGGCTGAGGTCACAGGACTCATGGAGAATTCAGCCTGGTGTCTATAAGACTGGTACTTTGACTTTAGACACAGCGGGGGATGGGCTGCCCCCTCCTTGGTCAAAAAGAAAGTGTCTATCTGATGCCATGACTGACACAGCAGGGTCACGTTCTCTCCTGAGGCCACCTTGGGGCCCGGCTGCACCGAGAGGGCGGGTATGTCAGGGATCAGTCCTGGAGAGAAGAAGGATGGGTGAGGGGCTGCCCCACCTTGCTCTGAGCTGAGACCTCCCCAGGCCTCTCTAGGAGCCTCTGTCTCTGTTTTCTCTGAGTCTTCCCCTCCCCACCCATCCCCTGTCTCTGTCTGTCTCTCCCTCCCTTGGGACCACCCCCCCGCCTCATCCCGGCCATCACTAATTGGATTCCCCCGGCAGGACCTGTGCAGAGCCTGGGTCCCTGACTGAACCCGCTGGGCTCCTCACCTGCGATCAGGATGTCCAGGGGGTCGCTGGGGGCCGACCACCTAGGGGAGAGGTTGTGTGCACCGTAGCATCTGTACTGGCCCCCGTGGGAGCGGCTCACAGGGCCCAGGGTGAAGTTGGCCTGGGAGAGCCCAGCCTGGGGCTGCTGGCCAGAGCCCTGGACGAGGTCATGTTCCCCCTCCTTGTACAGAACGAATATGTCATAGCCGACATCAGAGCGACACTGCAGGGTCAGGCTGCCTCCGCGGGCCACGACAGAGCCCTGCGGGATCAGGAGGGAGGGCTTCCTAGACACGCCTGGAGGGAAAGAGGAATTGGGACTTGGAAGGCTGGTTCCTCCCCCGCCCCTTCCTTCTCCCGTCCTGGCGTCCTGGCCCTGCAGGTCTCACTGTCTCTCACGCTCTGTGTCTCGGATCCCGGGGCCTCCTTCTCACCTGGGTCTGTCTTGGAGTAGTTCCAGACCGATAGTGTCTCTCTGACTCCTGGCCACTGTCTGTCTGGTCTGTCCTCTCCTCATCGAGGGACAGGAAATTGCAGCAAATACACCCATTGCCTTCCTGAGTCGACCCCTTCCAGGTGAGGGTGACTCAGGCTCCTGTTTCCCCATCTGAGCCTCCCCGTGGGGTCTTCCTCACGCCTTCAGCCCATCCATCAACACATCCTTCTGGGGTCCTTGCCATGATCAGTCATCAACCAAACTCCCAACAACCTATCTGGTTCCCCAAAATTATATAAAGAAGTGTGGTGGCTTTTTCACCTGGGACCAGAATCTCCAGGAGGTCACTGGGGTTCGACCACACCTGAGGGTTTTTCCTGTAATAGTAATAGCATCTGAACCTCCACCTGCAGCTGGGGGTCACGGGACCCACAGGGAACAGGGCCTGGGATGGCCCTTTGGGGAGCTTCTGTGAGTACAGGGTCCTGGGGAGCTTCTGTTCTTCCTCAACAAGAACAAACGTGAGAAGTCCGTCCAGTGTATCACACTGGAGGGTCACATTTCCTCCTGAGGCCACCACAGGACTCGGCAGGGCTAAAAGAGTGGGTTCTGCATAGAATCCTAGCAGAGAAGGAGGCACGTCTTAAGTGGGGCTCCGACCTCCCACATCATCCCCAGGGCTGGGCTGTGAGAGGTAGACGTCCCTAAGAGCCGACCCTCTTCCTGAGGGCAGAGCCTGGGGCTGGGACCCCTGAGTGTCCTCTCACCTGTCGCCACCAGCTCCAGGGGGTCACTGGGCTCTGACCAGCCTGCAGGGGTCTCATAGTAGCAGCGGTATCGCCCTGCACTGTCATACACCGTGGATGGAATGTGGAACTTGGCCTTGGCTCCAGGCTCCAGTGGGTTCTGTCTCTTCCGGGCCCATGGGAGTCCCTCCTTATCCAGACGGTACTCCTCAGTCTCCAGGGGCCCCTGACACCAGAGGGTCACGGGCTTCCCCCGAGCTATCACAGAGGCTGGCTCAGCCCAGAGGGTGGGTTTGGGGAGGGTGCCTAGAATGGAATCAGAGGCTGGATCCCAAGACATCCCCATCCCTCAGATTCCAGCTCTCAGCCCCAGGACCCTCCAGACGTCCCCATCAGTCAGCCCAGAACAGCTATCTCCACCCCCAGCTGCCCGGGGTTGGGCCCTTGTCCCCAGTGAGAAGAAGGGACCTGGGACAGCTGGGGACAGACTCACCTGCCTGCACGCAGGTCCTGGGGCCCACACTCAGCCCTGGAAGAGAGTTCCCTGTGAGGGATTTGCCCCTGGAAGCCCCAGCAGTTCCTCTCCTCCCTCGGAGCCTCTGATAGACCAGATTCTCTGATAGACCAGAGCCTCGCTTTAGAGTGAGCTCCCTCCAAGACGGGGACCTTCCTTCCCCCTCTTCAAACCTCACCGAGGCAAATCAGGACTGAGAGGGTGAGGGTCATGGCGTCAGCTCCCACTGGACTCAGCTGTGCAGGCGGATGAGACCACGGTGCCTGGCAGGACACAAAAACACGCAGAGTGTGGACTGGAGGCTGGGTTCTCCCTGTCACAAGACTGTCCCATCGGAAGCCCCACAGGAAGGGGAACTGCCCTCCCCAAGAGCCTGGCTCTCATTTCCCCAGGGATGGGGCTGGGGTGAGCTCCAGGCTCTCTGCAGACATTTCAGACAGAAATGGGGTCTCCCTGAGCCCTAGCCGCTGTCGGCCTGACCTATACTCAGCTCACCAAGGGCTAGGGCAGAGCAACAAAACCCCTCCGCTGGGAATGAACCTCTAAGTCGTTCCTGCCTCCTCAGTGCCCCTTTGTCCTTGGCCGTCCCTCTGTGCCTCCAACCATGTTCAAGGTTTTCAGAACAATTACTCAGGTTTGTCATCTGATTCATGGGGTGGAGTGGGGAGCTGAATTTTCTTCCTAATTCCACCGATTATGTGACCTTGGACAGCAAAGTGGCTTGCTTGAGCCTTTCTCTTTTGGAACTTGTGGTCATGACCTCAGCTTCTCAGAGTGGATGTGGGGCTCAGTGGTGCCTGGGACATGGGAGGGGGCTTGGCCATGGTGAATTTCCAGACCAGATTAAGACAGGAGTGGTTGGGGTGTGAGAGGATCCTGGCATTGAGCTCCGTAGTAGAGGAGGATGATTGATGCCCCAACTCAAGAGCCCACATCTGCTCCAAATACCAAGAAATGCTCCTTATGTTTGAAGTTCCCGGCACGGTGGCCCACCCCTGTAATCTGAGCACCTAGGGAGGCTGAGGATGGAGGATCCCTTGAGCTCAGAAGTTCAAGACCAGCTTGGGGAACATAGTGAGACCCCGTCTCTGCATATAACAAAGAAGAAATAATCAGGTATGTTTGTGCACGACTGCAGTCCCAACTATTTGGGACACTGAGGTGGGAAGATTGCTTGAGCCTGGGTGGTCCAGGCTGTAGTGAGGTATGATCATAGCACTGCACTCCAGCCTGGGTGAGAGAGCACGACCCTGTCTCAAAACATACATATATATATATATATATATATATATATATATATATATATATACACACACACACACATACACACATCTGAAATATGTAGATTATACATCCGAAATATGTAGATTATGAAAGTTTTGTGCAGAAAAAGAAATGAAAAGTTCTTTAATTTGAGAAGGTTGCACATCAAAGAACAAACTTGAAAGCTGACAGCCTGCTTGTGTCTAAGACTGTCCCAGGGTCATTAGGGAGGAAATTTCCACTTCTGTGTGGGACAGAAGAGGAACCCCAGGTCCTCATGGAAAGGGAGGGGGTAGGGGCTCCAGATGAAGATGAAAAGCTGTGGCCCGGCCCGGCGCGGTGGCTCACGCCTATAATCCCAGCACTTTGGGAGGCTGAGATGGGCAGATCACGAGGTCAGGAGATCGAGACCATCCTGGCTAACACGGTGAAAACCCGTCTCTACTTAAAAAAAAAAAAATAGAAAAAATTAAGCGGGCGTGGTGGCGGGCGCCTGTAGTCCCGGCTACTTGGGAGGCTGAGGCAGGAAAATGGTGTGAACCTGGGAGGCAGAGCTTGCAGTGAGCTGAGATCGCGCCACTGCACTCTAGCCTGGGGGACAGAGTGAGACTCCGTCTCAAAAAAAGAAAAAAAAAAAAGGAAAAGAAAAGCTGTGGTTCACCCTTGCTCGTGCTTGTGGACAGGAGCTGGGATATCTCTGCCCACTGACTGAAGTCCATGATCAGCATGGGGCCACCTCTCCCGTTTTTGTGTTTAACAGATTCCGCCGCCGTGCGTGGTGCCTCACGCCTGTAATCCCAGCACTTTGGGAGGCTGAGGCGGGCGGATCACCTGAGGTCGGGAGTTTGAGACCAGCCTGACCAACATGGAGAAACCCCGTTTCTACTAAAAATACAAAAAAATTAGCTGGGCGTGGTGGTGCATGCCTGTAATCCCAGCTACTTAGGAGGCTGAGGCAGGAGAATTGCTTGAACCCGGGAGGCGGAGGTTGCGGTGAGACGAGATCAAGCCATTGCACTCCAGCCTGGGTGACAAGAGTGAAACTCCATCTCAAAATAATAATAATAATAATAATAAATAAATAAATAAATAAAATCCTTGAAGTCCACCCGGCGTTCTATTGCACTGCAGCTGACCTGGCACTCAAGCCACAAGATACTGTCCTTCCTACTCATCCCTCCCCTTTCTTAAGGCAAAGGAGCCTCATGCCATGACCACTGCCACAACAGGCTTACAGGGAGAACTGCCAGTGTTCTCTTAAGCCCTAAGGGATCTTCAGTCAGCTTGTGGTGAAGGCTTCCTGGCCTGCTATTCATCCGTCATGACACTGGGCTCTGCCCAGGCCCAGGGCAGGTCCAGAAATGATCTCTAAGAGCAAAGTCCTTGAATTGAGGACCTGAGAGCCTACTTGGCACTCTATCCCCTGTTGTTGAGCTGGTACCTAAGGTGCAATACAAAGTCCCTTTTACTTTTTCTTCCACTTTTCTCACCCCACAGTCAACATGGCTGGGAAGGTGCTGAGTCTCACTTGAAGCCAGCAAGTCTCAGAGTCTCACCTAAGGCCCACGACATAGTACCTGTATATTGCTGCTGGTTATTCAGGGCCTGAGAGCTCTTCAGTTAGCAAGTGATGAATTCTGCCAGGACTAAATCCTTCCCCACAAGGCAGCAATTTCCCTTCTGGCCTAGGGTATGTGGAAAAATGTTGTCCAGGAGCTAGCATCTGGGATGGGGACCTCAGGACTCTGCCTGTTGCCCTATCTTACTGTGGCTGAGTGGGTATCCAAGATAAAAGACAAAGTCCTCTTTATTCTTCCCTCTCCTCTCTTCAATCAGAAGGAAGGAATCACTTTTGTTGCTACAAGTTGTGCTGCCTTGGGTAGTGGGAAGGATGAAACAAGTACACCCTTAGCTACGTTTGCTGATTTCTCTAAATTCACTGGCTCCAAACTCAGCACAGCACTAGGATTTTCCCAGGAATCACAGTACTTGTGGCCTAGACTCTTTCAAGCTTGTTTAAGACCCCAGACCAGGCGCAGTCACTCACACCTGTAATCTCAGCACTTTGGGAGGCTGAGGCGGGCAGATCATGAGGTCAGGAGTTTGAGACCAGCCTGGCCAATATGGCCAAATCCCATCTCTACTAAAAATACAAAAATTAACTGGGCATGGTGGCACGTGCCTGTAGTCCCAGCTACTTGGGAGGCTGAGGCAGTAGAATCGCTTGAATCTGGGAGGCAGGGGTTGCAGTGAGCCGAGATTGCACCACTGCACTCCAGCCTGGGATGACAGAGCGAGACTCCATCTAAAACCAAAACAAAACAAAAAAACAAACCCAGAGCACTTTAGCCTGAGGTCTCAGGTGGGACTTGCTGAATCTCAAGTTCCAACTGATTTTCTGGGCAGTTCCCCTTTGGGTAGAGCTCATCAAATGCTTTCTCCATGAACGGGCATCAGTTGCAATCAGCCCAGTGTGGCTTTCCAGTGTGACAGGGCAGCATTGAGTTCAGTCCTGCCTTCTCCCTTCCCCAAGCACACAGTCGCTGCTTGGGTGACTCCAGCCTGGGTGACAGAGCGAGACTCTGTCTCAAAAAAAAAAAAAAAAGAATGCTGAAAATATACCCTAATATCTTTAATATCTTCTGACTTTTAGGGTTATGCTGAAAGGTTCACTGTTAGCCTGATGAGGTACGTCTTTTGGATGACTGGCCTATTCTCTCTAGCTGCCATGAATAATTTTCTTTCACGTTGATCTTGGAGAAGTTGATGAGTATGTTGTTTGTGGATGGTTTTGTTGTATAGTATCTCACTGGGGTGTTCTGAGTTTCCTAAATGTGAATGTTGGCTCTCTAGTGCGGTTGGGGAAATTTTTATTGATAATATTCTCAAATATGTTTCTCAAGTTGCTTGCTTCCTTTCTTACTCAGGGATGCCAATGGGTCATAGGTTTTGTCTCTTTCCATAATCCCATAATTCTCAGAGGTTTTGTTCATTCTTTTAAATTCTATTTTTTTTATTTTTGTCTGACTGCGTTGATTCACAGAAGCAGTCTTTTTTAATTTTGTTTTTATTTTTGTTTTCTGAGATGGAGTTTCGCTCTTGTTGCCCAGGCTGGAGTGCAATGGCACAATCTTGACTCACTGCAACCTCCACCTCATGGGTTCAAGCAATTCTCCTGCCTCAGCCTCCCTAGTAACTGGGATTACAGGCATGCACCACCACGTCCGGCAAATTTTGTATTTTTAGTAGAGATGGGGTTTCACCATGTTGGTCAGGTTGGTCTCGAACTCCTGACCTCAGTTGATCCGCCCGCCTCAGCTTCCCGAAGTGCTGGGATTACAGGCGTGAGTCACCACGCCTGGCCATAGAAGCAGTCTTTGAGCTCTGAGATTTTCTTCTCACCTTGGTCTATTTTGCCGTTACTACTTTTTATTATATTATGCAATTTTTGTAATGAGTTTTTCAGCTCTATAAAATCAGTTTCTTTCTTTCTTAAAATGTCTATTTCATCTTCCACCTCTGGTGTCATTTTACTGGGTTCCTTATATCCCTTGGATTGGGTTTCAACTTTCTTCTGAACCTCAGTGATCTTAGTTTGGCATCCAGATTCTGAATTCTATGTCTGCCATTTTAGCCATTTCATTAAAAATCACAGGATGGCCACGTAATAAATGAAAGTAGCACTGCACCTCTATCACCCCATCCTTCAGTCAGGATCAGCTTGGAATAAAGAGGGACTTCTCCTTGCTGGAAAAAGCTGAGAAAAAGACCTAGCAGCTTCCATCAACACTTTGGACACCTGTAGATCTCACCATTGGAGATTCCCTTTCACAGACACTAAGCACAGCTGACGGAGCTACCCAGATTCCACACAGCTGCACTCACCCAGGAGAAAAGACTGACACTGTGCCCCACTGTCCACGGCCATCACGGCTCTGGCACTATGCCATTGTGGAATGGGATCTACTTCTGGATCTCTGGGGGACACGTAGCCGCAGCATCCTTTCACTGCTGAGGGATTGTCACTGCTGAGCCAGCCTTGCCTGGTGGCCTGCCATCCCCAGGCTGAGCTGTTGCTCTATACTACCCTGTCGTGCCAAGCTGCCTAGAGCCACTCGATCCACCTTTCCCAGTGGCAGATGCATCCTGACCCTCAGGGACCGAGCTGAAGTGGAAACGGTGCCTTGGGTGTTCACAAGAGTGATGGCCTGTGCCTGCGCTAGTGTGACACGCTGTGTATTAGGGTTCTCTAGAGGGACACAACTAATGGCGTATATATGTGTGTGTGTGTGTGTGTGTAAAATCGTATCTGGTGTATATATATGTGTGTATATATACACATATCAAAAATATATATGTATATGTGTGTGTATATATGTGTGTGTATATATGTGTGTGTATATATGTGTGTGTATATGTGTGTGTATATGTGTGTGTATATATGTGTGTGCATATATGTTTGTGTGTATATATATGTGTGTGTATATGTGTGTGTATATATGTGTGTGTATATATGTTTGTGTGTATATATATGTGTGTGTATATATATGTTTGTTTATATATATGTGTGTATATATATGTGTGTATATATATAAAATCATATCTGGGGTATATATATGTGTGTATATATACACATATCAAAAAATATATGTATATATGTGTGTATATATATGTGTATGTATATATGTGTGTGTATATATGTGTGTATATATATGTGTGTGTATATATGTTTGTGTGTATATATATGTGTATGTATATATGTGTGTGTATATATGTGTGTGTATATATATGTGTGTGTATATATATGTTTGTGTGTATATATGTGTGTATATATATGTTTCTGTGTATATATATGTGTGTATATATATGTTTGTGTGTATATATATATAATCGTATCTGGTGTATATATATGTACACATATCAAAAAATATATGTGTGTGTACATATATGTGTGTATATATATGTGTGTGTATATATATGTGTGTACATATATGTTTGTGTGTATATATGTGTGTATATATATACCCTACATATATATACCATACATATATATGTATATACACCATATCTATATGGGTGTTTATTAAGTATTAACACACTATTATACAAAAATTAGCCTGGTGTGTGTGTGTGTATACATATATATATATAAAATCATATATGTGTGTATATATATGCATGTGTGTATATATATGTGTGTGTATATATATGTGTGTATATATACACATACATATATATGTATATACACCATATATATATGTGTGTGTGTATATATATATATATATATACGAGTGTTTATTAAGTATTAACTCACACTATTATACAAAAATTAGCCCAGTGTGGTGGTGCACGCCTGTAGTCCCAGCTACTCAGGAGGCTGAGGCAGGAGAATCAGTTGAACCCGGCAGACGGAGGTTGCAGTGAGCCGAGATTGCGCCACTGCACTCCAGCCTGGTGACGGAGTGAGACTCCATCTCAAAAATTGGACTCTAGCCTGGGCAACAAGAGCAAAACTCTGCCTGTCTCAAAAAAAAAAAAAAAAAAAAAAAAAAGACATGATCCAGGCAACATCGATGGGGCATCACCAGGGTCTGTCCTGTCTGTTGCAGTCCACACTTTGCCCTGCTCATAGCCCCATGAACTTCATGTTCATGTCTTTTCACACTATAACTTCTTCCAGGTCTTTGCTGGACACATTAAAAAAAAATATATATATATAAAATGCTTCATGAAATTTGTTAATATCCTTGTGCAGCTGCCATGCTGATCTTCTCTGTATCATTCTGATTTTGGTATATGTGCTGCCAAAGCAACAACACACTGGACACATTTATCTACAAATGAGGCAAACAAAGCATATGGGTGTGAATGGGGAGAAGTACAGTGTTCTCTGTTGTAATTGACCCCGAGGTCATCCTTTATATTTACCAGCTTTGCTGTCTATCACCCTCTCTAGGTTCTGCTTACCTTCTGCCAGAGTTCGCATGAGAAACTCTACTTGTCTCAACTATCGGCCCAATGAAATAAACATAAATTTCAACCTTGAGGCATCTGAGCACCTGATTATTGTGCCTGTTTCAGGCTTTCTTGTGGGAGTTGCCCATTGTGTTAGTTTCTTGGAGGCTGATATAACAAATTATCACAAAGTATTGAATAAAAAGAAGATAAACTTATTCTCTCAGAGTTCTGCAGGCCAGAAATAAAAAATCAAAATGTTCATATAATTTCTTCTTTCTAGAGGCTCTGAAGAAGAAACTTCTGTGCTTTTTCCTTCTTTCTTTCTTTCTTTTTTTTTTTTTTAGATGGAATCTCGCTCTGTCTCCCAGGCTGGACTGCAGTAGCGCGATCTCGGCTCACTGCAAGCTCCGCCTCCCGGGTTCATGCCATTCTCCTGCCTCAGCCTCCCCAGTAGCTGGGACTACAGGTGCCGGCCCCCACACCCGGATAATTTTTTTGTATTTTTAGTAGAGACGGGGTTTCACCATGTTAGCCAGGATGGTCTCGATCTCCTGACCTCATGATCTGCCCGCCTCGGCCTCCCAAAGTGCTGGGATTACAGGCATGAGCCACCACGCCCGGCCACTTTTGTGCCTTTTTCTTAGACTTTGGTCCTTGCTGGCATTTCTTGGCATTCCTTGGTTTACAGACTTCTCATTCTAATCTCTGCCTCCATCTTCACATGGCATCCTATTCTTCTCTGTGTGTCTTCTTCATGTCTTATAAAGATGTGAGCAATATTGGATTTAGATCCTGCCCGAAGCCAGCATGACCACATCTTAACTAATTATACCTGCAAAGATCCTATTTCCAAATAAGTTCATATTCACAGCTACGGGAGGTTAGGATGTCAACATACCTTTTTGGAGACACAGTGCAAACCCCAACCCCAGTCATGGTTACCTCCAGCTATGGAGAATTCATCACTGCCACAGTGAATTATCTAAGCTGCCCAACCACCCTCTCTTCACCAAATCCTCCTCCTCATCGTTAAAGAAAATTACCCAGGCCAGTATGATATCTTTCTCCTTACCTGCTGATGTACTGTAATGAGGAAACCCAAGGAAAACCAGCTACATCATCATTTTAGGTACAGAGTAATTTTTGTGTTGTTCCCTGGTAGTGGTTTCTTACCAGGCAGATCTTCTAACCCAGGGTCACCTAAAAGTGCAGTCACAGGATGTGCACATCTCCCAAGTGTGTCATCTGTAAAGTTAGTGATAGATGCTGTTCATTAAACTCTCACTTTACTCCCAAGCCCATGCATTCTACCTGTCAAAAGACATACCATGATTTATTGTTTTATTTATTTTTTATTATTTTTTATTTTTTTGACGGAGTTTTGCCCTTGTTGCCCAGGCTGGAGTGCAATGGTGCAATCTTGGCTCACTGCAACCTCCGCCTCCCGGGTTCAGGCGATTCTCCTGCCTCAGCCTCCCAAGTAGCTGGGATTACAGGCGAGCAGCACCACGCCTGGCTAATTTTTGTATTTTTAATAGAGATGGCGTTTCACCATGTTGATCGGGCTGGTCTCGAACTCCTGAACTCAGGTGATCCACCTGCCCTGGCCTCCCAAAATGCTGGGATTACAGGCGTGAGCCACCGCACCTGGTCCATTTATTGTCTTTATAGCTATATCTGTATGTATATCATCTACAGCTTTCTGTATGCTTATTTACAGCTACTGTAACAGAACCCCCAAACTGCAGAGTCTCATTCACAAACTGTTCAATACATCCAATTTCAAGAGGCCATTTCAATGTTCTTTCAGTCCCAGTAAAACCAAACCACTGCATAGTACATATCTCAGGTCATTCCCAGAATATCACGTGGCCATGTTCTCATTCCCTCCACGGATTTTGTGGGCATCTGGATTCCCATTCTGAGAATAAGTCATGGGTTATTTCGTTTAAACAAGTCAGACATTCTGAGTGCTCACAGACCCCTGCGAGGAGCTCCGTCAAACCCATTTTCAGCACAAGCATCCTTCAGACTAAGGAAGGTTTGCTGCCCCCTCGTGGGTGGAATGTGTTCCATGGCATCAAGTTACTACCAGGCATCACATCCAGACCTCTCTGCTGGTCACAGGTGAGACTTTCAGCTACAGTGGTGGCTACGTGGTCCTTGGTGAGAGGGAGTCACTGGTGTTGGGTTCATGCATGTCCTCCTTTCTTGCTCCATGGCTATCCCATTCACGGGCCCCTCCTGCTTGCATTGGGCCTGCTGACCCCACAGCTGGATGGATTCCACTGCATCAATTCTGTACTCCACCTGGTGCCTCCCCCAGCTGTGGACTGCTCTTGCTTGCTTCTCAGGGATAGGCTCATGGTAGGGAGTATAAATTTCTCCTGTCCTCACCCAGCCTCAGTCTTGGACAATTTCTATATGAGTGGGCCTTGAGGGTGGAGCTTGCTCAGTGTTTGTGTCCTTCTTCCCCTTGGCAGCTGGATTGTACTTGGTAGCTTTGGTTGACTTGGGCAGGAATTTCCTGTCCCTTCCCTGACATTTGTATATCTGGGATTATGGTTTCAGGAATTTTCTGCAGTACTCCTAGGGATAGAGGGACTTTTAAATCTACCTTCTTATATCCACAATGGGTTTTTACCTGGGGCCTGAGATTGGCTGGTTTTTCTGAACCTCTCTCAATGACTTCAGTCTTTTTCTACACATGGGAGAAGTATCTGGGCAGGGGGTGAGATTTCAGGCCACACACTGTGGAAGGTAATCATGTCTGATCACAAATTTTGGGTCTCCACCTTACTTCCAATCTATGTTGTGAATGCCCAGTTGAGACCCACGGAAAAGAGCTCATGGGTGAGTGTGAAGTGCTTCTCTGTCTTAAGTTCCCAGAGATCCTTGCCTCTTGGAGGCCAGCAAACACTGACTCTTGAGGAATTCATGACAATATCATCTGATTCCTCCTTCCCAGCTTGTATGGCAGTCTCCCACCCTCATGTGTTCTGCCTTTGTAGAGCCTGTCATGGCATCCTACTCCTCCTTGGAATTCAGGTTACTCAGTTGCTCCCAGAGCTCGGATTTCTGATGGTCTCAGGTGAAATCTACATTATGGAGTTGATCTGAGTTTTACTCATGGTTAGGATTGCAGAGAAGCTCTTTTTTTGGAGTGGGGGAGGGAGGGGGAGGGATGGAGTTTCGCTTTTGTTGCCCAGGCTGGAGTGCAATGGCGTGTTCTTGGCTCACTACAACCTCTGCCTCCTGGGTTCAAGTGATTCTCCTGCCTCAGCCTCCCCAGTAGCTGGGATTACGGGCATGTGCCACCATGCCCAGCTTTTTTTTTGTATTTTTAGTAGAGAGAGGGTTTCACTATGTTTTCCAGGCTCGTCTCAAACTCCTGACCTTAGGCAATCCACCCACCTCAGCCTCCCAAAATGCTGGGATTACAGGTGTGAGCCACCGCACCCAGCTAGTGAAACTCTTTCCAGCTCCCCAAACCCTGGGCAGAAGCCGGGATATGAATTATTTATTTACTTACTGAGTTATGTGACATAACTCACACCATATGAAATGCACCATTTTTTAGTGTACAAATAAATGGATTTTAGTGTCTTCACTATGCTGTGCAATCACCATCCCTACCTCATCCCACAGCATTTCCATCACCTCAGAAAGAACCCCCAAGTAGTCAGTCCTAGTTCTTCCCTTCCCTCAGCCTTAAGAAATCACTAGTCTACTCTCAGTTTCTATGGCTTTGTCTATTCTGGATATTTCATGTGCATAAAATCACACCAAATACACGTCCTTTTGTAGCTGTTGATGGAAAAGAAGTGGTTACCATGAAGGAACTGAAGTTTTCCAAAGACAAAATTATAATGTGGCCTGACAGAAGAAGTACAGAAATTGATAACAAAAACAAATCCATCACAACTTATCATGAATCTGGTCATGCCATTATTGCATATTACACAAAAGATGAAATGTCTATCAACAAAGCTACAATCATGCCACAGGGGCCAACATTTGGACCTGTGTCCCCATTACCTGGTGATGACAGATGGAATGAAACCAGAGCCCAGCTGCTTGCACAAATGGACATTAGTATGGGAGCAAGAGTGGCAGAGGAGCTTATATTTGGAATTGACCATATTACAACAGGTGCTTCCAGTGATTTTGCTAATGCCACTAAAATGGCAAAGCAGATGGTTATCAAATTTGGAATTAGCGAAAAGCTTGGAGTTATGACCTACAGTGACACAGGGAAACTAAGTCCAGAAACTCAATCTGCTATTGAACATGAAATAAGAACCATTCTAAGGGACTCATATAAATGAGCAAAACTTATTCAAAATTCAAATAATTGTATGACATGGTTATAACAAAACACCATCCTACCCCATCCATAGTATTTATTTAGATGAACAAATTTTCTCAGTCCTGTATCTATACAAATGAAAACTAGATATAGTATTGACGTTTAGCTCTGTTTCAGTCTAGGAATAAGTAATATTTACCAGTGGACATGTGAACAATTAATAACCATAATCAAGAAGTATTTTTAAAACATTTAGAATCTTAAATTTATATAGTAGAGATGGATAGGGTGATCCATGAAAGATGTTTAATTATATAATTATTACATTTCGCTAAAAACTTGTTGGTGATGTTGAATGGAAAATCAAGTCAAAAATGAAGAAGAATGATGCAAACCTTAAAAAAAAAATGAGCAAAACTTATCTTGAAAAGTCATGCAGAGGAGCATAAGAATCTAGCAGAAGCTTTATTGACCTATGAGACTTTAGGTGCCAAAGAGATTCAAATTGTTCTTGAGGGGAAGAAGTTGGAAGTGAGATGAGAACTCTCTTGATGTGGATGCTTTGCTGGTTTTATTGCAAGAATATAAGTAGCATTGCAGTAGTCTCCTTTTGCAATGCTTTCTCCTCATTATTGACGTTGTGTAATTTAAGGGTGTGAAACATTTTGTCAACATTTTGTCACGTTTACCCAATTTTGGTTATTCTCATTATGACACCCATTGCAAATCAGCATCCCATGGCAAATATATTTTTAAAACTAAAGAACTATCAGGATTAAAGACAGCTCATTTGGGAAATGTCAATTAGTTATGAAGTTGAAAGTAACTAATGATTTTATGGTTGGTTACTCTACTAGAGGTGAATAAAACTTCAGCCTTTAGCCTTCTATATACATCAGTGGAAACTTAATTAAGATGCATTAATTATGTTCCAGATTGACCATCAATAAAATGTTTTTAAATCTAAATGTAGAGAATTGTAAGCATACAGTTGCAACCCGAATTTAAATGATTATAACCTTTTGGCATGGTGTGATGGCTCACGCCTCTAATCCCAGCACTTTGGGAGGCTGAGGCGAGTGGAAGGCTTGAGTCTAGGAGTTCGAGACCAGCCTGGCCTACACGGCGAAACCCTGTCTCTACTAAAATTAAAAAAAATAGCCTCCTGTGGTGGTGCACAACTGTAATCCCAGCTACTCAGAAGGCTGAGGCACAAAAATTTGCTTGAACTGGTTGCAGTGAGCCAAGATCTCACAACTCCACTCTAGCCTGGGCGACAGAGTGAAACTTTGTCTCAGTAAATAAATAAATAAATAAATAATTGTAACCTTTTAAAAATAAAAAAACCCAAACAAATATATGTCCTTTTTTTGTCATTATTCATGATAGCTAAATAGTGAAAACAACCCAAATGTCCATCAATTGGTGAATGCATAAACCAAATGTGATATAGGCATAGAATGGAATATTCTTCAACAGTAGAAAGGAACAAAGACCAATTACATGCTCTAGCGTGCAGAGACCACGAAAACATTTTGCTATGTGCAATTGGATTTTTGCCATTTTGTTGTTGTTTTTAATGTAGTACATTTATTTTAATTTATTATTTTTTAAAAAAAAATTCAATAGCTTTTGGGGAACAGGTGGTGTTTGGTTACGTGGATAAGCTCTTTAGTGGTGATTTTTGAGATTTTGGTGCATTCATCACCCGAGCAGTGTACACTGCACCCAATGTGTAGTCTTTTATCGCTCATCCCCCTCCCATTGTTCCCTGTGAGTCCCCAGATTCCATTATATCCTTCTTATGCCTTTGCATCCTCATAGTTTAGCTCCCACTTATGAGACCATATGATGTTTGGTTTTCCATTTCTGAATTACTTCACTTGGAATAATGGTCTCCAACTGCATCTAGGTTGCTGCGAATGCCATTATTTTGTCCCTTTTTGTGGCTGAGTAGTATTCCGTGCTGTGTGTGTGTATATACACACATACACATACATGTTTTTCATATGTTTGTGGACCGTTCGTATATCTTCTTTTGAGAGTTGTCACAAAGGGAATTGGATTTGGAGGGAACAAATTTATGGCCATTTTTCAGTATAATCATCGGGTGAAGACAGTGTCTGTTCGGCCAGTGTCGCTTTAATCCATTACCTGTAGCCAGGAAGGGAGACGTTTATCGCAGAGATAGGCACCAACCTGGAATGCTTTCCTCAAAGGCGATTAACTGTAATGTGAACCCGAAATTTCACCGCAGTTTGGTCCTGATTTGGCACAAGATATGCTTTATCCACTGATGTGAAATGTCCAGGTGTTTTTTTGTACGGTTTTGTTGCTGAAAGACACAATACCCTCTAATCTAAGGCATCCTCTCCAAATCCCACTGAACAATACCCTCTAATCTAAGGCATCCTCTCCAAATCCCACTGAGGCACAGGAGTGACACTAGAGAGGGGGTCACGGAGCTTCCTGAGAGAGATTCGCCTCCTGAACCCTGGGCAGATCCTCCCCACCTTGGGATCTCTGTGAACCTCTGGGGTCTTCTATTCAATCAGGACCAAGTTGTGAGGTGGGATTCCTTCCAGGCTACAGTCTCCCCTCTCCCTCTTTCAATTTCATCAAGACAGATCAGAGGTTTGTGGGAGGGAGTCATGGCGTCTCCTCCACAGCCCCCAGCTGTGCAGATGGATGAGGCCACCGTTCCTGGATGGAGTAAATCTACTGGGAACCTGGGTTCTCCATCACGAGGTTGTCCCGTCATCAGCCCCAAAAGAAGGGGAACTGCCCTCTCCGGGAGCTTGACTTTCATTTCCCCAAGGCTGGGACTGGGGCAGGCACCAGGCTGTCTTCAGATACTTCATACAGAAATGGTATCTCCCTGACCCTTTTCTGCGATTTGCCTCATCTGTCTTCATCTCATCAAGGGTCAGGACGTAGGAGCCGACAGACCCAGCACCTTTCTGAGTCTGTCCTGTCCAAGTGAGGGTGACTGGGGGCTTGTTCTTCTTCTCAGAGCCTCCCTGTGGGGTTCTCTTCCCTCCTTCAGCCTGTCCATCAACACAGCATTGCGGGATCCTTACCATGGCATCCAGCCCTGGAGATGCTTCAGGAAAGTTGCAGGTCCATGCTGCAGGACAGGCTCAGATCAGCAGAGACGCATCTCACATCGGGCTGTGAAATTCAAGTTGAGCTGCAATTGGCAATGAGAAGAAAAAAGGAGAAATAAAGAAATGCTGACTCTTCTTTTGTCTTTGGAGTATGGGTTTTATTTCTTCCAGTTTCCTTCTTAGACTTCCCTTCTTTTTTTTCTTCCTATTTTTTTTAATAGTGTTCAGGTCCCCCTCCCTTAAAAGTAACCTCTGAGTCATTCCTGCCTCCTTGGCGTCCCTCCCACCCCCAGCCCCGCTTCCTTGGGCATTCCCCTGCATCTCAGTCTGCCTTCAAGGTTTTGGGAACAAGTACTTGTCTTGAGCTCTGATTTGGGGGTGGGATAGGGAGTTAATTTTTTCTGAATTGCTCACCTTCATCCCTGCGTGCATGACCTTGGGCAGTAAGTCCCATCTCTGAGCCTCGGTTTCCTCATTTGGAGCCTGTTGTCATGAACCCCCCTCCTGAGTGGTTTTGGGGGCCAGTGGTGCCTGGGTCATGGGAGGGCCTCAGTCATGGTACATTTCCAGACCGGGTTAAGTCTTGGGGGTTGAAACATGAGTGGATCCTGGTGTTGGACTGCACAGTCACGGTGAGTGACTTATGTGCTCAACAGCCCACATCTGCTCCTAACACTGGGAAAACCTACTTATAATGTGTCTGAAATATGTAGCCATGGTCCAATGAAGAAAATGAGAAATGAGACTTCCTGTCATAGGCAGGAAACCTTAAGAAGCAGAAGATGCCAGCGCCGAGGGGCTGCTGGTGACTTGCAAAGCTGGGGGTCACTAAGGGGGAGGTTTCTGCCTCTGTATGAGACAGAGGAGAACCCCAGGGCCCTCACAGACAGGGAGGGGTCGGGGTTTTGGATGAAAGTGGGAAGTTGTGGCTCCTTCTCCCCTGTGTTTGTGGATGGCACTGGGATATCTCTGCTCATTGACTCAGGTCCATGGTCAGCCCTGAGCCGCCTCCTCCATGTGTGTGAAACAGATTCACTGCAGCGTTGTCACACATGGGCGTCTGTCCCACATGCGAGTCTGAGGCTCACACTGGACCCTCCCTGCTGGTTACAGCCCTGAGTAGACTCATGTGGCACTGGCAGGTGGAACCATCTCCCCTTTTCCAGCCTTAACTCCCAGCACAGCCCTGGTGGAAACCCTCTCTGGAAGATGAGGCATGTGGGAAGCATGTGTCCAAAAATGACAAGGAGAAGGAATTATCCTAATGATCAAAAGTGCTATGATGGGCCAGGCACCGTGGCTCATGCCTGCAGTCCCAGCACTTTGGGAGGTCAAGGCGGGCGGGTCACTTGGGCCCAGGAGTTCAAGACCAGCCTGGGCAACATGGCAAAACCTCATCTCTACAAGAAATACAAAAATTAGCTGGATGTGGTGTCATGAATAATGGCCTCCAGCTCATCCAGGTTGCTGCAAAACTCAATCCCTTGTACATCAGTTGCAAAAAATTAAAAATATCTAAGAATATACCTAACTGAGGAGGTGAAAGATCTCTACAAGAAGAACAACAAAATGCTGCAGAAAGAAATCGTAGATGACACAGCAAAATAGAAATATATCCCATGCTCATGGATTGGCAGAATCAATATTGTGAAAATGATCACACTTCCCAAAGCAATATTTAGGTTCAATGCAATTCCCATCAAAATATCAACATCATTTTTTTCACAGAATTAGAAAAAAATCCTAAAATTCATATGGAACCAAAAAGAGGATGAATACCAAAGCAATCTTAAGCAAAAAGACAAATGTAAATTTAATAAACATATCCTAGGCTGAATTGTAGGGGGTTTGTTTTTGCTCACTTCAACCTCCACCTCCCGGGTTCATTCAAGTGATCCTCCTGCCTCTGCCTCCCAAGTAGCTGGGATTGCAGCGTGCGCCACCATGTCCAGCTAATTTTTGTATTTTTAGTAGAGATGGGGTTTTGCCTTGTTGGCCATGCTGGTCTTGAACTCCCGGCCTCAAGTAATCTGTGGCCTCTGCCTCCCTAGGTGTTGAGATTACAGGCGTGAGCCACCGCACCCGGGCACATTGCCTCTTTTTCTATTCTCAAGAAACATTTGTGATGCTCTGGGTGTGTTTGTGTGTTTCATTAGTGCGTCAATATTTGTAAGAAATCACCAGTGAAACTTCCTGAACTGGAGTTGATACGATGGGAACATTTTTATTACAGTCAATGTTTTTCACACACACACACACACACACACACACATATATATACACACACATACACACACATTTAAAATGAGTCAGATTCTCTGATTACTCTTACGTTCATTATGTAAACTCCAGTTTTGAATATTTCATCCATTTAATCTGCATTTTCTAGTATATTGGTATAGGTTTGCAGCCTGTTCTGGGGTTAGTTTGTGAAAATGTGTGTAGGATCTGCTGGGCTGTCTGCTGGCTCACTCCCATATGGAAATGCGTGCCTGCTCTTTCTTTCTCTTGCTCAATGTAGTTAGGATTTATGACTGTAATTAATATTTTCAAGAATGAGCTTCATTGGCTTTGTTGAATTTTCAAGTTTTGGTTTTTCCTCATGAGCAACTCTTCTTCTTCTTATTCCCTTTCTTACACCTTCATTTGGAATAATTGGTTATTCTTTTTCTAAATTCCTTATACGAAAGCCAACGTCATTCATTTCCTAGTTTTTTTTTTTCGTTTCTACTTTTTTCATTTGTGGTTTGTACTTTTTCAATTTCATTGTGTGATGTGTAATATTTATATTGTGATTCAGTTTAAAGCACATTCTTACTTCTGATTTTAGTTTTCTCGGTTAACTCATTGATTATTGAGAAGTCTGTTGCTTTAATTAAAAAATGTAGGGATATTAGTTATTTCGACTGCAGAATCAAGTGAGTCCCAAAGTTCCCAGCATCTCCTCATGGTCTTTGTTAGGGGTCCAGGCTGACTGGGGTTCATTGGTGTCCACTGGGGGCAGCTCCCGTGCCTTCAGCAGTCCTGAGTCTCCTTCTACTGAGTGTGGAGTCTGCGTACCCTCCGGGCTAGTGGATGGCCAGGGTGGCGTAGATGCTGGGCTCAGCTGGAGGTTCCCTTTCCTGGGATGGAGGAGGCTCAGTTGCCTTCCGTCTGAGGGTCAAGCTGTGCAGCTGGGCGTAGGTCACATCCTGGGGGGCTTCAGATGCAGCAGCCTGCAGCGGGGGAGAGTGAGAGGTAAGGAACGTGGTGGGGGTGGGGGAGGCCTGGGGGCCTGGAGAGGAAAGGACTCTCTCAGTGTCCATCTGTCTGTCCTCTTCTGCCTGTCTGTCCTTTGTGTCCAGGAATTCCCCGGACAGTGGGGAGGGAGGAGAGGCCATTTCTCTCCTAGGTCTGGAGTGTTTCACCTCGGCATACGTCACTGCCTGGGGGTCTTCATCATGTGGGCTCTGCTGGAGAGAGACAGTGGTGGGGGGTGTCCTTGAGTCCCCCTGACCTCCTGGAGTCAATTTTCCTCACTGTTCCCGGGGTGATCCGATTACATCCCTTTCCCGATGGAATCTCAGGGACGCCCTAAGGCCGTGGAGGGTCTGGCCGCTCCCTTCCTGTGGTTCTGGCCTCTGCTCCTCACTCTGACCTTGCCCATTTGGCTGCAGCCTCATGGGCCTTCCCGCAAGAGCTCGCTGCTGCCTCGGGGCCTTTGCACGGCTGTTTCCTCTGCCTGCAGGGGCTCGTCCATTAGAGGATCGTGTGCCCCACTCTGTCCAGGCTTCTCAGATGACAGCTGAGCAGACAGCCCTCCCCTTCCATTCAGACTGGCCCCACTGCCCCACACTCTCTGCCCTTTCCCTGGTGTATGTTCCTTTAAGCACGTTGCACTCCTGGACATGGCGCATTTATTTGCATTTTGTCTCCCACCACGAGGTGAGCTCAGGAGGCGGGGGCGGCTTTGCTCCCTGCTGTGTCTGCAGCTCCCATGGGGAGCCTGATCCACAGTGAGCTCCCTGGGAACACTCACTGGTTGAATGAATGAAGGGGAGCCCAGGGGACCGGGGTGGTTCATTTATTCCTCATCCTCCAGAGGCCTGGGGAGCGCTCTAACAACCAGACGGCCAAACAGAGGATGAGGAGCAGGAAGGGGACCCGGGAGGAGGCCCACGAGGTCCCAGGACAGCAGGAGAGAGTGAGGTCACAGCAGGCGGGAGGCAGCGTGCTGGACAAGGAGGGGTCCACCGTGACGATGCTGAGAGCCGGGGGAAGGAGGACAGAGAAGTCCTGCTGGATTAGATCTGGCACCAGGAGGCCTTTGGTGCCTGGGACAGGGGCGGGGTCTCACCCGAGTGTCCATCTCCACCCCATCTTCAGGCTGTGTGTCCTTCACGGCAGCATCTGCTGGGGCAGAGCAAGGGGTTCGTCTCTTGGGAAGGTTCCCTGGGACCTCTGAGTCCTGCCAGCCCCTGCCCTGCTCCCAGATGGGGCTACTGAGATGCAGGGAGGGGCTGCAATGTCCCTGAGGTCCCACAGTGTGGGGTGAGATGATCTCACCCTGAGCCCCAGACCCTTTCCAGCCGGTGCCCCTTTCCCCATTGCTACGGAAACTTCGGGGCCCCTATCTCCCTCCTGGCTGGTCACCTCTTCCTCTCACTCACAGAGGTTTTCTTCCTGGGCGTCGGCAGCTGGGCTGGACCTGGGGGAGGAATGGGAGCTTTAGGGGCAGTGTATGGGCCACGAGCAGGTGGGAGTCTGGGGTCTTCGGGCAGAATTACCTCCACTGCAGGCCTCTGTCTGTGGGCTCTGGCCCCACAGCCCCTGCAGGATGTTGGAAATCAGCCTTTCTCTGGGCTGGGGGAAGAAGGACAGAGCCTCAGCCCTGGGAACATTGGAGCCCCCTGCCCTGCACACACAGCTCGAAGGTAAGGAAGGAAACCTAAAAACACTCCTGCCTCCATGTTCCAAATGCCTCATGAGATGGACAGAGTCCGAAGGACACTTTACATTTGTAGATGGGACTGAGCCCGGAGGACACTTTATATTTGTAGATGGGACTGACGTTAAGTGCTTTCTCCATTCACCTGGTGAGAAATGCTGGAACAGTTTCTCAAAGCTGCATTTGCCCAGTGGTTTGGATTCTCTTTGGCTGTGCCCTGAGCCCACCCTCGGTCGGCCCACAGGGTTTCCCCTTCCCTACTCACTCGATGTCCAGTGTTTGCCCTGACGTCGATGTCGGAGGATGAGGAAGAGGAGGAGGAGGAGGAGGAGCAGTAGGACGACGGCCACCAAGATGCCGATCACAACCCCCAGGTGCCTTCCCAGACCTTGAGCACGATGATGTCAGGGATGGGGGTGATGTCATTGAAATGAGCGCCTACTGTGTGCAGGTGACTGCTGGACCTTCTGTTCACCACCTCCAACCCCCACAACAGTCGTGCAGCACACAAACATCCACCCCACCCACTCTACAGATGAAAAACTGACGCTCAGAGAGGGGAATCGCCTGCCCCGGGCCCCCAGCCAGGAAGCGGCAGAGCTGGGAAGGGAGCCCGGGAGTCTGACCTGCAGCCCTTGTTCCTGCACCAGAGCCGAGCCCCGGAGCTGCAGGGAAAGAGCCTGACCGTCCTGAACCACGACTCTGCTCCCCTCCCCTGCCCCAGGTCACCGTCTCTGCTGCAGGTGGGACGGGACAGGCCCCCGCGGAATCGAGTCTTGGAGTCTTCCCTGAGGGGCCTCCTCTCCCAGGAGGTCACAGCTGGGAGTGAGAGCTGAAAGGAACTTTCCCACCTGCAGGCCTCTCTCCTTTACACTTGGAGAAACTGAGGCCCAGGCAGGGGAGGAGCCTGTCTACATCACCACCTCCAGAGGAGCCTGAACCTAGGACAGAACCCACCCCTGCCTCCCCGGGACCCCGCCCACCTCCCACTCAGAGCCCCTCACTCACCACTTTGGGGATCCGACCCAGTGGGGGTGAGGGGCTGGTCCTCAGGGCCTGCTGGGTCAGGAGGGGGAGGTGAGGGCTGGGGCTGCCCTGCTCCCCACATCAGCCTGGCTGCTCCTCCCCCAGGCTGGGCCCCAACACTTCTCTCTGCCTCGATCCCCCACCCCTCACCAGCCCAGCCTCAGAGCCCTGGGGACCCTGTGGCCCCTCCTCTGGCTCTGCCCAGCTCCCTGGACAGAAGCCCTTGATTGAGTCCCTGAAGGGAATGGGATCCTCCTGGACACTCAAAGCTGCCCTGGGGGTCGCTGCGCTCCCTTCGAGCCAGAGGCCTCAGGGACTCACCAGGTGTGGAGATGGGACCGGTGGGTGGGGGGCTGGAACCCATGGAGGGTCCTGGGTGAAAGAATGAGAGGAGGGTGAGGAGCTGGGGCTTTCCTGAAGTTTCCACCTCAAACCAAATTTCTCTACATGGGCCCTGTGGCCTCCCCAGGCCCCTCCCTCCACCCGCCTCTCCTGTCCATGATGCTGGCGATGCCGCTGAGTGTGCGCAGGCCTGGGAGGGCCTGTTGTCCTCCTTCCCTCTGAGGGTGAGTCTCCCACTGGCTGAGCCCCGCTCAGACCCCCGCTCACTCCATCCCAGCCCAGAGCTCTCCTGGGGGGCAGGGCCTGAGCTGAGCCTTTGAGCTCAGAGAGGACAGGGTCAAGGCCCCCACCTGAGACCACGAGCTCCAGGGGCTCACTGGGGTGAGACAGCAGGTAGGGGTCGGAGTTGAGTGAGCCGTAGCACCTGTAGGTCCCCGCGTGGGCTGAGGTCACAGGACTCATGGGGAATTCAGCCTGGTACTTAGGATATTCGTGTATTGATCTTAGACGGAGTGGGGCATCAGCTGCTCCCGCCTTGGTCAGAAGGAAAGTGTGGAACTGCCGCCATGACTGACACAGCAGGGTCACGTTCTCTCCTGAGGCCACTGTGGGGCCTGGCTGCACTGAGATGAAGGGTGTGCCATGGATCTGTCCTGAAGAGAAGAAGGATGGGTGAGGGGCTGCCCCACCTTGCTCTGAGCTGAGACCTCCCCAGGCCTCTCTAGGAGCCTCTGTCTCTGTTTTCTCTGAGTCTTCCCCTCCCCACCCATCCCCTGTCTCTCTCTCTGTCTCTCCCTCCCTTGGGACCACCCCCCGCCTCATCCCGGCCATCACTAATTGGATTCCCCCGGCAGGGCCTGTGCAGAGTCTGGGTCCCTGACTGAACCCGCTGGGCTCCTCACCTGTGATCAGGATGTCCAGGGGGTCGCTGGGGGCCGACCACTCGGAGGAGAGGTTGTATGCACCGTAGCATCTGTACTGGCCCCCGTAGGAGCGGCTCACAGGGCCCAGGGTGAAGTTGGCCTGGGAGAGCCCAGCCTGGGGCTGCCGGCCAGGGAGCTGGCGAAGGTCACGTTCCCCCTCCTTGTACAGAACAAATCTGTCATAGCCGACATCAGAGACACACTGGAGGGTCAGGCTTTCCCCAGGGGCCACGACAGGACCCGGCTGCACTGAGAGTGATGGCTTCTTAGAAACACCTGGGAAAAGGTGCTCATGGTTTCCAGGAGCCGACCCTCAGGCTTCCCCACAAACCCTCCCTCTCCCCCGGTGCCTCACCACTGCTGATCTTCCTGTGTCTCTGGCCCCAGGAGCCCTGAGCCCTCTCGCCCCAACATCATCCCACCTGGAACTGCCCTGAGACACGGCTGCTCCCCACCTGCCTGGAGACTCAGGGAGACTCAGGGAACTCCAGACAATGCTGTGAATTTCTCACCTGGGACCAGGAGCTCCAGGAGATCACTGGGTGAAGACCACACATAGGGAGAGTTCAAGTCATAACCATAGCACCTGTGCGACCACCTGCGATTCGGGCTCACGGGGCCCACGGAGAAGATGGCGCGGGACGACCCACGGGCATGGGGCTGGGAGTTCAGGCATTGTGGGTGTTCATCTTCTCCTTCCTTACACAGAATGAAGCCGCCAAATGCCACCTGTGACTCACACTGGAGGGTCACCCTTCCTCCTGAGGTCACCACAGGGCTGGGCTGGGCTGAGAGGGTGGGTTTTGGGTAGGCTCCTAGGAGAGAAGGAGGCACCGTGTTAAATGGGGCTCCCACCTCCCACATCATCCCCAGGGCTGGGCTGTGAGAGGGAGACACCCCTGAGAGCCTCCTTCCTGAGGGCAGAGCCTGGGGCTGGGATCCCTGAGTGTCCTCTCACCTGTCATCACCAGCACCAGGGGGTCACTGAGCTCAGACCACCGAGCGCGGCTGTAATACTGACAGCCATATCGCCCTGTGTGTTCCCAGGTGATGGATGGGATGTGGAACTGGCCGTTCTTCACAAGCTCTGGTCGTATCCGTGTAATCCAAGATGCTGATTTTTTCTCCCTATATAGACGGTACTCCTGGGCTTCAAGGCTCCCCTGACAACTGAGGGTGACGGGACTCCCCTGGGTGATCACAGAGTCTGGCTCAGCCCACAGGGTGGGCTTGGGGATGGTCCCTGGAAGGAAATCAAAGGTCAGATTCGAAGTCATTTCCCACCCAACAGATCTCAGCTCTCAGCCCAGGACCCTCCAGATGCCCCCATCAGTCAGTCCAGAACTTCTAATCCCCATCCCCAGCTGCACGGAGGTGGCCCCTTGTCCCCAGTGAGGAGGAGGGACCTGGGAGAGCTGGGGACAGACTCACCTGTCTGCACGTGGGTCCTGGGGCCCAGACTCAGCCCTGGAAGAGAGTTCCCTGTGAGGGATTTGCCCCCTGAAGCCTGAGCAGGTCCTCCCCTCCCTGGGATCTTTGTGAGCCCCTGGGGTCTCCTTAGGGACCAGAGTTTGGCTGTGGGGTGAGGTCCCTCCTAGGTTAGAAGCTCCCCTCTCTCTTCAAATCTCACCGAGACAGATCAGGACTGTGACGATGGGGGTCATGGCGTCTCCTCCCACTGCCCTGCTCTGCGGATGGATGAGCCCTCGGTGCTGGCGGGACAGAGACACACAGAGAGAAATAGCCTCCCCTCCTTCCCACCCTGTGTGGACACTCAGAGGCTGGGTCCTTCTCATGGGGTGTTGTCATCTGCAGCCACACAAGAAGCGGAACTGCCCTCCCAGGAGCCTGACTCTCATTCTTTTAGAGCTGAGGTGGGGGCAGGCACTGGGCCCTCTGCAGACATTTCAGACTGTAATGGGGTCTTTCCTGACCCCCAGCCACTGTCTGTCTGGTTTCTCCTCGTCTCACCGAGAGCCGGGATGTAGCAGCAAATAGAACTGGTGCTTCTTGTGTCTGCCCTTCCTGATGAGGGTAGCAGTGGCTTCCCCTTCCTTCTCACAGCTTCCCACATGGTCACCCTCCCTCCTTCAGCCCATCCATCAGCACAGCGTTGTGGGGTCCTTACCATGGCAGTCGTCCCTCCAGCCCTGGAGATGCTTCAGGGAAGACCCAGGTCCATGCTGCAGGCAGACTCAGATCAGCAGAGACGCATCTCGCATCTGGCTGTGCCGCCCAGGCTGAGCTGCGTGTGGCAGTGAGCACAGAGGAGAAATGCAGGGAAGTAGGGGAAGAAAAGTTGACTTCTTTCTTGACACTGGATTGTGGGTTTTCTTTCAACCAAATAGTCCCCTCTTAACTTCCCCTTTTTAAATGTTTTTGCTCCAGCGTCCACTCCCTCCCCCCCGGGAAGAAACCTCTGAGTCTTTCCTGCCTCCTCGGTGCCCATTGCGTCCTTAGCCGTCCCTCTGCACCTCAATTCCTGGTCAACATTTTGGGAACAATGACTTATGTTTGAGCTTTGATTTGGGGAGTGGGGGAGGGAGTTGATATTTATTTGATGACTGGTTATCATCCGCTGCCTACGTGACCTTGGTTTGTAATGTCCCATCACTGAGCCTCAGTTTCTTCCTTTGCAGATTGTTGTCATGAATCCCACTCGTCACAGTGGTTGTGGGGTCAGTGGTGCCTGGGACATTGGGAGGGGCTCATTTGTGCTTGATTTCCAGACCAGGGTAAGACCTGAGGCTTTGGGACGTGAGAGGATCTTGCTGTTGGACTCCACATTCTGTAGGTGATTGATGAGTCCACTCAAGATGTCACATCTGACCGTAATGGAGAAACGTATGTGTAGCATTTCTGAAATACCCAGAGTATCAAGGTCATGAGCAGAAAAAGACATGTGGAAACCCCAAGTGTAGACGGACTCACAAGAAAGAACAGAGGCCAGAGGTGAGATGCCACAGGGTCCCGGGACCATCAAGGGCTCATTAGGGTGGAGGTTTCCACCACTGAGTGGAGCCGGGAGAGGAACCCCGGGATCTGCAATGACAGTGAGGGGCTCAGGGCTCCAGACCAAGGTGGGAGGCTGTGTCCTCTAGCTACACCTGAGGCTGGAGTGGACCCCAAGCAGCCCAGGGGAATTCCCTCAAGGGAGTGCACCAAACTGTCCAGACCTGCTGGAATTCCAAGGAAAGAAGCACTAAACACCAGGGTGTTCATAGAGCATTTATTAGGGGGACCTCTGCACAGTGGGGCATCCTTGTCTTCTTGCCCAGTGTCTCCTTGTGGATCTCAAGGATGTGCTTCCACATAGCAGCATGTTCTTCAGATGGACAAGGAGACACTGGGTATTCTATCCAAAGCTTTAACCTAAAATAAAAACAAAACCAAAAATAAACCCCTAGAAAATATGATCTCTCAGTACAGTTGTTTCTTGGGATACACAGGCAATTCGTTTCAGTACCCCCTACATGTACCAACACTTGCTCGTACTCCAGCCCTGACGTTGTCTCTGCTGGGTCTGCATATAGGAAAAGTCTGCCGTTCATATACGCAAGTCTTGTTTCTCACAAATGCTATAGTTTTGATCCCCGTTTGTTTGGAAAAAGTGTGCATATAAGAGACCCCTGGAATTCAAGGCTGCATTGCTCCAGGGTTGCCTGGATTTTGAGTTTATTTGGGAGTGAGAAGCAAGGATTACAATATGGAGTGCATGGCATGGCAAGCCACAGTGTGTCCAGAGAGGGAAGTGTGATGTTGTGATATATGCTGGTTTTCACCCGCAGTTCCTGGCTTGTAACTCCCATAGCCCTTGTTATAGTCTTTTGTTATAACATTGGCTGTGCTGGGCCTCAGGGGAGGCCTCTGACCTCCTCCTGCCCTTCCTTCACCTAACCCAAAGTAAGACTCGAATGTTCCCTGCCTTTCTGATAGTGGATCTTAAGACCCTCCCAGAAGACAGTCTCACCCTGTTCCTTGTGGGAGGAAATGCTGATGTCATGAAGCTTTCATGAAAGCCCCAGAGGACTGGGTTTCATGAGTTTCTGGGTGGCTGAGCATGCTAAGGCTCCTGGAGGGCGACGCCCAGGGAGGGTATGGAAGCCCCGGGCCTCTTCCCCCATGCCTCCTCCTATGAGTTTCTTCATCTGTGTCCTCTGCAGTGTGCTTTGTATTCAACCAGGAAATGTCAGTGTTTCCTGAGTTCTGTGAGCTGCTACAGCAAATTAATCAAACCCAAAGAGTGGGGCATGGGATCCCCAACTTGAAGCCAGTCAGTCAGAAGTTCTGGAGGTCTGGACTTGGGAATGGTGTTGGGGGCAGTTTTGGGGAATGGGCCTTCAATCTGTGGGATCCGGGACTGTCTCTGGGTAGACAGCACCAGAGCTGACTTAGAGGACACCCAGCTGCTGTTCGCTACTGCGTCTGGGGAAAAAAACCCCATACATCTGGTCCTAGAAGTCTTTTTCTGTGTTGATGATTCCTGTGACGTGAGAGTAGAGGAAAAGCACCGTAGAGAGAGCTCTCTGTACATAGAGAGGTAAAGGAAGTTCTTATCAGCAACAAGGGAGAGCCTGACAGAGCTGCCTGGAAACAGAGTTCCCTGGTTCCACAGGTTCAAAGCCAGAGTTGCTGTCAGTCCATTGGAGGAGATGCTGTTGCTGGTCAATGGTTCTCTTGAGAGCATCTTATCTGAATTCCTGACGTCCTAAAGAACATCTAGTGATAAACCTTGTCAAAGCAGAAGGGGCTGAAGGACATGGAAGAGTTTCTTATGGGTTTTTTAAAAGTCCTTAGAAACAGTTCTTATCTGAGACGTGGAAGCATGGGCCTCCTCTCCTTCAGGCCTTCCTGGCCCTGTGGGGTCTGAGTTTGACCAAAGTCATCTCATCCTTGCACCTGTAACTTTTCTATTGGGAGTCTGCAGTGAAGGGATGGGGTTACGAAGTTTAACCTGAGAGTTTCAGGAATTTGGTTCAGGGGAGGGCTTGTTTCTACACTTTTAGCAAAAGGGTTAATTTTTCAGTGTTTTCTAGAAACAACCTAAAGTGCTTTATCAGTACTTGGGGATGCTCAAGACCTCAGCTTGGGTTCCAGCCTGCAGGTGGAAACATGCATCTGTCCAACCCACAGAACAGTCATGGCCCTTTGTCTCACTCTCAGAACAAGGAAAAAAGTGGAGGAAACTGTGGGACCTTAGAGACTGTGACTCCCCCTCTTCTGTGTTTGTGGACAGACCCTGGGATGACTCAGTGACCCGGGCTACACTCAGCACTGAGCCACCTTCCCGGGTGTGCATGACACAGATGCGCTTTATCATTGTTGGACCGGGCATCTCTGACCCTGGAGTGTGAGGCTCACATGGACCCCGCCATGCCGGGCATAACACAGAGGTGATTCTAAGCTTGGGAGCATGGACACCGCAGGGCAGGAGCGGCTACAGCAATGCCCTCATCAGCTTTCCTTCCTGAGTCAGCCTGGGGAGAAACCCTATATGGAAGATCAGGTGTGTGGGAGAAAAACCCACCCCAGAGGAATAAAAATCAAAGAGTCCGTTAGAGAAAAAACAGGCAATTGTAGAAATGAATTAGGAAGCTATTGTGATGTGAAAATAGTAAATTATATTAACACATTTAGAAATAATTTCATCCAGAACAAGACACAGCTGAAATGATAAACATTGTATTGGTGTAGAATATTTACTAAAATTTTTCATTAGTCATCAGAGAAAAACTAGAAATGAAAAAAATAGAAAAGATAATTAATGCACACAAGAAATGGAATGAAAAGAGGAAACAGATATCTCTCTTTGGATCACACTTTCAGAATGAAGGAAATAAGGAGTATGTTATTCAGTAAATACTTGCAAAGAAAATGGTTGACATTTTTATAGAAATGAAGAAAGAACATGAGTTTAACGTGAACAAATTCATAAATAACATCAATGTCTTAACTATGATAGAGTAAAAGATATCTAGAATAGATACAAAGTAATTTTAAAACTACTGGAGAAAATGAAAATTATTGTCCAATGAAAGACAAGCACATTGGGACTGGATTTCCCAAGAGCAAAAAGTGCAAGAAAATGACTGGGGGCTGAGGTTCAAGTTGGCTGAATGGAAAGGGCTGGAGTCTGCCTACTCACTAAGAGGACCCAAAATAGCGAGTAAATACCAACAGGTCAAGTGGATCTTCCAAGAGGATGCTGGGGTTCACCTGAGAAACATGAGGACATGGAGAGAAGAGAAGAGAAAAGGTGGGAGCCAGGAGAGGCTCCTAACACGGGGAAGGGGTGAGTGAGTGAGAGATTCACCAACACGGGGAAGGGGTGAGTGAGTGAGAGATTCCCCAACACGGGGAAGGGGTGAGTGAGTGAGAGGATCCCTAACACGGGGAAGGTGTGAGTGAGTGAGAGGATCCCTAACACGGGGAAGGGGTGAATGAGTGAGAGCCTCCCTAACACAGGGAAGGGGTGAGTGAGTGAGGGGTCCCTGGCATCTACATCTCTGCTGTGGGCCCTTAGGATCCTGCCCACAGGAGAGCGCCTGTCCCCTCTGGGCCTCCAGAGGCCCACAGTTTTCTCCTGGAGACTGTACCAAGGCCCCACTGGAGCCCACGTGGAATCCCACAGGCTTCTGATCCCTGAGCAGCCTGGGTCCAGCTGCCACTGCCTTAGCAGGGAGGGAGGAGGCCAGGCACCTCTGTGGGCCCCAGAATAAGTATGACAGCTGGGGCACAGGAGCAGCCAAGCTGAGCACCACACAGCTGCCCACCTCTGTTGCTTCCTGCGAAATGGGGCTTCCTTCCTGCTAATGGGGCTTGCCAGCTGCAGGGCCTCAGTGCACCCGTCCTGCCCCCACCCGAACACCGTGGCCCTGGCTCGGTGCCCTCTGAAAGCCCAATGCTCAGAGGCCCCTGACAAGCCCTTTGCAGTCACTGCCACCTCTGCCTCTGCCCCTGCTGCCCCAGGCCCAGGGAGGGTGTGGGGAGGCCTGGCACTTTCACGTGTCCCCAGAGCAAAACCGAGTGACACTTCTTCAGGAGGGAAGTGTGAGCGGGCCCTGTGCCTCACAGCTGCCAGTCTCCAGTGCCCCAGCCGAGGGGCGCTGCCCTCCCTAGTGACAGGCCCACAGCTCAGCCACCCTGCCCCCACCTGGACATTTCAGCTGCAGCCCCCAGCCCTTCTGAGAGCCCAGTCCCCACAGGCCTGTGATCTGCCGCAGGCTCTACCACCTGAGCCTTCTGCCTGCCCCGCCTGAAGGTTCTGCCGGTGACCTGGGGACCAGCCCATCCCTCCCCATCACAGCCAGCATCTGAACCCTGGAGCAGCCGAAACCCAGTCCAGCCCCTTCAGGACTCACACACGCTGTCCAGCCGGCCACCTAGGGGCCTGTGATCCGGGAACTACCTGCCCTTTCCTACCTGCTGGCACCTGACCACTCACCCCAGGGCCTGAGGTCGGGCCCACCCAGCCAGCAACACCACCACAACTGATGTCCACTCTCCCATCCAGAGAGGCAGAAGCCCCACATCCCACCTACATGAAGCAGCTACCGCGTCAGACAACAGACAGCCGCTCAGGGTCTGCACTGGGCTGAGGGAGGAGGCTCTGCCTTGGAACCACGCCTGCAGAGAGTGGCAAGGCAGGTGTTTCCCACTGCCCTCAGCCACACTGTGGCCTGGGGAGAGACAAGAGTGTGTGTCTGAACTGAGACTCATGAGCCCTGGAGCACGGGTGTGATAGGGAGACAGACAACGTTCCTCCCTATGGGACTGGAAACGGTGTAGCTCCTTCACCCCCCGCAGAGACCTCAGGGCATTTCACTAGGAGCTGCTCCAGCCATGTCCATCAGGACTAGTGCCTGCACTCATCACTGGGATATCTGTGGGCAAGCCGGGGGTTCCAGCTCTGCCCAGGGGTGTTCCCTCGCCCCTGTGGAACAGGAAGCTCAGGGCACCTGACACTCCACGGTCCAGCCCTTCCCCTGAAACAAGAGTCAGCACCTCACAGGAAACACACCAGGTCCACATCCACCTGCTTGTGCCGAGCGTGGCTCTTACCCTTAAGCACCAGCTCCTGGCCTGCAATCTGAGCTGCACAGCCCAATGCAAACCCTGCTGCAGAAGCTCCCAAAGCCATGGGAAAAGCCAAAAGACCCTTCCCAACATGCTCTACAGTCACCCTCCCTGCGGGGCTGGGGGAAAATGTGCAAAAGAAATCCCATCCAAACGAAAATAAATTCGAAGAGAGTAAGTGGAGGCCTCTCCAGATGAGAAGGAATCAGTGTAAGGATTCTGACGCCGTGAAAAATCTGAATATTGTGGCACCACCAAAGGATCGCACTGGCTCGCTAGTGATGGATGCTGAAAACAATGGAAACTCTGAAAGGACAGATAAAGAATGAGACTGACACAAAAACATTACAAAGAATCAATGAAAGAAAACGTTGGTTTTTTGAAAGTATAAATAAAATTGAGAGATGGCTGACTACACTAACCAAAAAAAGGAGATTTAAATAAGCACAATCAGAAATGATAAAGTTGACATTACAACCAACACCACAGAGATACAAAAGATCATCAGAGACTACTATGAACACCTTTATGCACATAAACTAGAAAACCTGGAGAAAATAGATGAATTCCTAGACACACACAACTTCCCAAGATTGCACAGGCAAAAAATAGAAACTCTAAACAGACCGATAACAACCAATGAAAAAGGATCAGTACTAAAAATCTTCCAGCAAAAAAGTCCAGGAACAGATGGATTCGCAGTTGAACTTAGCTGTATGTACGAAGGAGGGCTGGTACCAATCATACTGAAAGTATTCCAAAAATCAAGGAAGTGGGATTCTTTGCCAGCTCATTTTACAAAATCAGTATCATCCTGATAGCAAAATCAGACAAGGATCCAACAGAAAAATAAAACTACAGGCCAAGAAATCTGAGGAACACAGATGCAAAAATCCTCAAGAAAATACTAGCAAACGGAATCTAACAGTGTATCAAAAACATAATTCATCATGATCAAGTTGGCTTGATTCCAGGGAAGAAAGGATGGTTCAATATATGCAAGTCAATAAAAGTGACTCATGACATAAACTAAGAACAAAAAGCATATGATCATCTCTATAGATGCAGATAAAGCTTTCAAGAAAGTCCAACATCGCTTCGTGATAAAATCCCTCAACAGGCTAGGCATGAAAGAAACATACCGCAAAATACCAACACCCCCTGCGTGACAAACCCACAGCCAACATCAAATTGAATGGGGAGAAGTGAAAACATTTTCCCAGGAAAATGAGAATGGGATCCTCCCTAGCCCCTGGGGTCTCCTACTGGACCAGGGCCTATCTGTGGGGCAGGGTCCCTCTCATGCTAGAATCTCCCGTTCCCCTCGTCAAATCTCAGTGAAGTGGACCATGGCCATGGGAGTGACAGTCATGGCACAGAGAGGCAGGGCTCTCCTGTAGCAGGACGAGCCGCAGACAAAACTCCTCAGACACCGGATTAAAGAAGGAAGAGGTTTTTATTCAGCTGGGAGCGTGGGCAGACTCGCGTCTTAAGAGCCGAACTCCCCGAAAAAGAAATTCTTGGCCTTTTTAAAGGCTTATAACTTTAAGGGGTCCACGTGAAAGGGTCGTGATACATCAAGCAAGCGTGGGAAACGTGACTGTGGGGGCTATATGCATCAGCTAACAGAACAAAAAGTTTTACAGTGCTTTTTTCATGCAGTGTCTGGAATTTACAGATAACACCAGTAGTTTAGGTCAGGGGTTGATGTTATTATTATTACTTTTTTTAACTCCTACGGCCGGGTGGTGGTGCCAAGGTTGTCTGGCTATTTATCTTACTTTTGTATTTTTCCAACTTTTGGCTTTTTCTCTCTTCCTGTTTTGTGAACTAGGCAAGGTGGGGGGAGGAGGGCAGCAGGAGTAGTAGTGGTCTCCTTCCTTACTCCCACTTACAGGATTTTCCCACCAGCATCTCCATGGGTGGTGAGCTGTCCCGGACCCCGCTGGCTCATGTTTTCCCAGGACTTGGCCTTTCTCGAATGCTTTATCTGCATCGGTTGAGATGATCACATGCTTTTTGTTCTTAGTTTATGTCGTGAGTCACCTTTATTGACTTGCATATATTGAACCATCCTTTGAGACAGGCACCAGGCTTTCTGCTGATATTTCAGACACGCATGGCATCTCTCCTGATCTCCTTTCACTGTCTGCCTGACATGTCCTCGTCTCATTGAGGGCCGGGACGTAGCTGCAAATGGACGTGGTGCCTTCCTGAGTTGGTCCCTTCCAGGTGAAGGCAACGGAGGGTTCTTCCTTCCTCTCAGAGACTCCTCATGGGGTTTCACTCTCTCCTTCAGCTCACCCATAAACACACCCTTGTGGGGAACCTACCATGGCCAGTCTTCTCACCAGTCCTGGGGAAGCTTCAGGGAAGATGCAAATTCAGGCTGCGGGGCAGACTCACATCAGCAGAGACTCATCTCACATCTTGCTGTGCAGTTCCAGTTGAGCTTTATTGTGGCGATGAACAGAAAGGGGAAATACAGGGAGACAAGGGAAGGAATCATGTCTCTTTTCCCAGAACTGGAGTGTGGGTTTTCTTTATGCAAAAACGTTCCCTTCACGAACTTCTCATTCACTCATCGCAACAGCGTCCGCCCCCGTCTCCCTGGAAACAACATTGACCTGACTCTGCCTTCTTGGTGCCCCCGTCTTCTTTCAAACACTCCTGTTCCCATCCTGTGCTCCTGAGTTCAAGGTTCTGGGACAATACGTGGGGTTAGCACTCTGCTTTGAGGGAAAATCTTGTCTTTATTTAAATATTCATGTGTCACCCCCTGCCTGTGTGACCTTGGGCAGTAACCTCCCATTTCTGAGCCTCGGTTTCCTCATTTGGAGCCTGTGATGAACCCCATTTATCACAGGGGAGCTGGGTCATTGGAGCCTGGGGACTGCAGGGGGCTCAGCCATGGGTAATTTCCAGAGCAGGTGAAGACAGGAGGGGTGGGGGCATGAGGGGATGCTGGCGCCCACCATCAAGGCCTGAGATTGATGTTTCCACTAAGGAGAGCCCCTTTGTTCCTGCCCTTGAGAGATGCTTCTCATAATATTTCATCAACACCCCGGTTATCACAGTCATGTCCAGAAAATGAGAAATGAAAGCTTGTCAGAAGGAGAAGCGCCTGCATTAAAGAGAAAATTAAAACTGACAGAGCATTTGTGTCTGGTGCCATTGGGGTCTTCAGGGAGGAAGTAATTAAGTCACTAGTGTGCATACATTTAAGCATGAAATGCAAATCTTTTTTTTTTTTTTTTCGAGACAGAGTCTCACTCTGTCGCCCAGGCTGGAGTGCAGTGGCACAATCTCAGCTCACCGCAACCTCCACCTCCCGGGTTCAAACGATTCTCCTGTCTCAGCCTCCCGAGTAGCTGGCACTACAAGCACGCACCACCACACCCGGCTAATTTTTGTATTTTTAGTAAAGATGGGGCTTCACCATGTTGGCCAGGCTGGTCTCAAACTCCTGCCCTCACCTGATCCGCCTGCCTCCGCCTCCCAAAGTGCTGGGATTACAGGGGTGGGCCACCGCGCCTGGCCAAAATGCAAATCTTGACCTCTCATGATAAACTGAAAAATAGGAGTAAATTAAAAAATACATATGCTAGACTGAATTATGTAATTTAAAATGCATTTTTGTGTTTTGTGATTTTCAACTCAACATGTCAATAGCATTGCTTCTCAGTGGGACTGGACTTCCCGATAGTAAAAAGATAAGGGAAGGAGATGCTAAGAGAGTACTCTCAGGGGACTAACTGCAAGTGAGGAATTCTATACTTACTCAGGTTAATACCTGAAAGGTAAAGGGGTCAGCAGGGGACCAATTCCTAAACAGAAGAAGGCTCAGGGCAAGACGGACCTGTGAAGCTGTCTGGTTGGGCTTCCCCTTCGTGAGGGCTGAGGAGGGATTGGAGGGTGGATCTCTCAAATCATCAGATGTGCTTTCTCTTCCAGGTGTTATACTTACCCTTTAACTAATACAGAAATGTTTTCATCTATTTTGATAGAGAGAGTGGGAGGAAAAAGAAGGCATTTTCTGAGCTGCAAGTTACTAGATATTACTGTTTTCATGCTCAGTGAAGGCAATTTTAAATGATATCATCCAGTTGGAAGATCAATGAATCCGGCCGGGCGCGGTGGCTCACGCCTGTAATCCCAGCACTTTGGGAGGCCGAGGAGGGCGGATCACGAGGTCAGGAGATCGAGACCATCCTGGCTAACACGGTGAAACCCCCGTCTCTACTAAAAATACAAAAAAATTAGCTGGGCGTGGTGGTGGGCGCCTATAGTCCCAGCTACTCGGGAGGCTGAGGCAGGAGAATGGTGTGAACCTGGGAGGCGGAGCTTGCAGTGAGCGCAGATTGTGCCACTGCACTCCAGCCTGGGCGACAGAGCAAGACTCCGTCTCAAAAAAAAAAAAAAAAAAGAATCAATGAATCCAAAATGTAGAATATGAGATGCCACAGTGATGTAAGTGAGAAACAGGCAAGTATTTGAAAATCACACACAGACATGCCCACATGAATGCAACCACACACGGGCACACATGTATGAGTCAGTGTGCATGTACACATGTGAGTACTCAGAGTTCAGCTACAGTGGAATTAGAACGTGTCTTCTCTAAAGGCAAGGATAAATGAATCCTCATTCGAAAATATATAATTGAGTGAATACTTAACTAAATAGGTGAAGTTATTCCAAATTTTTCTTTTTTTTTAATCCTGTATGTAAAAGAGTAATTCATCCACTGAAGGATAAGTTAAATAGCCCAGTACCCCAATCACACCTAGGCATGAAACACAATAGTACCATCTAAAATGAAATGATAATTTACAATCAGTAAGTGAAGAAAGGTATACTAGTAAAATATCTATTGGAAATATTAATATTCAACAAAATGTAACATAATCCAAAAAGTTTTAGAAATAAAAACTAAAATTTTGTGTTTTAATGAAGTTGTAAGGGCTGGGCATGAAGGGATTTGCAGGCTGAGCGGGGAGGATCACTTGAGCCCAGGAGTTCAAGACCAGCCAGGGCAAATAGTGAGACTCATCTTTATTTATTTTTTTAAAAAAAGAAGGTATTAAAGATGACTGGGAAAAATCACTGTATGAAAAACCGAGGAAGAAGGAATTAGGGCTCCCGAATGGGGTGAAGACCCACATGCAGAATGTCTCTGAGCCCTGAGAGTGGAGCAGTGTGTTCAGGATCCTGAGCCTGTGGAACCAACATTCTCTGAGATGTGAGTCTATGGAATGTGTGTTATAAGACCTGCCTTTTGTTAGTATAATCCAGCAAAAGCCCATGGGCGAGGACCCAGTTTTATTTTAGGGAATGTGGGGACAGTATATTTTCTATTTGTGTTTATGCAAATTTCATATTGCTGATCAGTCATGCAGAAGGCGGAGGTCAGTGTGTTCACAGGATTCGTACCCGAGAGTCTGGAGACACATGTGGGGGTCCATGGGAAAGGCTGGTGGCCGGGTATGGTGGGAAGGTAATCAGCGACAGATGCCAGAGTCTCCTGCTTGATCTTGCCGAAATCTGGCTCAAATGTTTGGCCTGGCACAACCAAACTAGAACTTGGAAGACGCTGTATAGGTAAAACATAATATTGTAATCATTCATATTCTGTTAAGGCTTTGAAAATGTCCTTAATAAGATTTCTTTATCCTGGAAGGTAGATGGCAAATGATAACATTTCTTTATTCTAGAGGGTAGATGGCAAACGATAAGATTTCTTTATTCTAGAGGTTAGATGGTGAATGATATGATTTCTTTATTCTAGAGGGTAGATGGTGAATGATAACATTTCTCTATTCTAGAGGGTAGATGGTGAATGATAAGATGTCTTTATTCTAGAGGGTAGCTGGCGAACGATAAGATTTCTTTACTCTAGAGGGTAGACGGCAAATGATAAGATTTGTTTACTCTAGAGGGTAGATGGTGAATGATAACATTTCTTTATTCTAGAGAGTAGATTGTGAATATTTGGTCCTTCATGTTTTCTCAGGATCCTCCCTCCAAACATTCTATCCTATACAGCAAAGCTTTACATCCTTCAAACACAACAGTCGTCTTGGACCTAGATATGTTGAACTCTTTAATGCTAGGACTCAAGTCCTCTTGCTGTTTGGGACAATTCAGAAAAGAATCAGCCCCAGTCATTTTGCATACTTCTGTCTGACTGTCATAGGTGAGTAGAAAGAAACAGCTCAACTGCTTGACAAGATTCATCGACCTGAGGTCTTGTCTGCAGCTGGATTTCTATCCTACTTCCGTGATTTTCCTTTCGTGGATCACCAACACACTGCAAATGCCTATCATTGCTTTTGACGTGGTGTACTTTGGTTCTGCCTGGAAAGGCAGGAAGTCTCGAAGTGAGGAGCTCACAGGTCAAAGGAGATTGAAATGTTTTCAGACAGAATAGGCAAATCCGTAGAGACAGAAAGCACACTTGTGGTTAGCAGGTGCTGGAGGGAAGAGGGAATGGGGAGTGGCTGCTGAATGGGTGTAGGATGATGACAATGTGTGGAACAGGATGGCAGTGATGGTTACACAGTGATCTGAGGAGAAGATACACAGGTAGCATCTGAGAAGGAGGGAAGGGCTTGTAGGGTTTGGAGAGGGTGTCAGGGCATCAGGGTGGATTTATCTTTTCCTGGTTGAAATCTGATACTCTCCCATTGATTTAGTTACTGAAGCACGTTTGGAACTCTGAACTGAAGAGATGGAGGCTCAATAAAGCACACCAGGGAGTATGGCAATGAGGAATAAAGAAGACTGTGTTACACACCATGGACCAGAGCACACAGATGTGCAGAGGTGTGGATCCAGCCCTGCCATGTGGGATGTAGCCTCATGTCTAGGGGTGGGAAAAGAAGGGGATCCAACCAAGGGAAGTCAACATTAATAGAGAGGAAAGGTATCACATGTTAATGGTCCTCCATGGATCACCCTGCAAAATATCTCTGCAATCCAACACTGATTCCTCCTTCTAGAAATTATCAGCAGACAGTCCAGATAGCATTGGCCCTAAATTGTCTCCCGGAACCTCCTGGGATCACCATATCTATTCCCAAGGTTCCACCACTCTGAGAGATGCATTGTCCTCTCTGCTGTTCACCTCCTAGCTGCATCTTAGGGGCTTCTCTGGCTGTGCTGAGCCTCAAATAACAGAATCCTGAGGACCACCAGGATCAAGCCAGCCTTGCCCATGTGGATGAGATTCTCCACTGTGTAATCCTGGGGGTGTGAGGTTGGGGATGGTGGGCAAAGAGACCACAGAGGTCAGGGCAGATCAACATCACCCAGGACCTCTGGATGTCCACCCAGGGCACCCACCTCCCCTTCACAGGACCTGACCCTCTGTGCCAGCCCCATAACTGAAAGCATCTCCTCACGCACCAGTCTTGGGGTCTGAATTGTTTTGTGATGGGCTGAGGGTATCAGCTGCTCCTGAGAATCAAAGCAAAGGAGAAGTACCCTGAGCCAGCCTCTCCCATGGGCTCGGCATTCTTATCTTCCCCTGTCTCCTGACATGAGTTCTAAGGAGTTCCTTAGTAAACTCTTCCTCTGTAGCAGTGTTCGTTCCGTTCTTCTTAATGAATTATTTCAGCTTTCCTGCTTTCTACAAATCCAAATGTTGCTCTTGAGTCATTTGGGGGAGAGTTTTCCTTCACCCTGAGGGCTCAGGATCTGCAAGGAAAGTGGTCCCCAGTACAGAGGTCACTGAGCCCTGTGTGCTGTCTGTGCAGCCTGGGACACGGGAGCACATGAGCCAATTCCCCCGGAGATGAGAGTTTCACGGATCCACCAGCTGAGGACCCAGGCTCCCTGGATGAGGGGTTGGTCCTCAGGGGCTCCCGAATGTCAGAAGCACAAAGCGGTGAAAGTCTGGGGCTGCCTCCCCTTCACCTGGGTTTTCATTGTCCAATTAATCTAATTAACTAATTCTTCATATAATCAGGAAAACCTAGAATGATGTGATACCTTCCCCCCGGCCCCCATCCAAAAATATCTGTCTGCTAAATAGTGGTGCTATTAGAGGTTCATAAATCAGTATTTCTGCTTTTACAAAGTGTGAATCTAGGTGAATCTAGACCAGTAACAAACATGTAAACTCCTACCACATCAAATGTCTTATTTATTTATTTATTATTTTTATTATTTATTTATTTATTTATTGAGGCAGAGTCTTGCTCTGTTGCTCAGGCTGGAGTGCAGTGGTGTGATCTCGGCTCACTGCAAGCTCCGTCTCCTGGGTTCAAGCAATTCTCCTGCCCCAGCATCCCGAGTAGCTGGGATTACAGGTGCACGCCACCACGCCCAGCTACTTTTTTTGTATCTTTAGTAGAGATGGCGGTTTCACCATGTTGGCCAGGCTGGTGTCGAACTCCTGACCTCATGATCCTCCCACCTCGGCCTCCCAAAGTGCTGAGATTGTAGGCATGAGCCACTGTGCCCGGCCTATTTTTATTTTTATTGAGATGGAGTCTCACTCTGTCGCACAGGTTGGAGTGCAGTGGCACTATCTCGGTTCATTGCAACCTCTGCCGCCCGGGTTCAAGTGATTCTTGTGCTTCAGCCTCCCTAGTATCTGGGACTACAGGGCCGCACCACCATGCCTGGCTAATTTTTTTTTGTATTTTTAGTAGAGATGGGCTTTTACCATGTTGGCCAGGCTGGTATCAAACTCCTGACCTCAGGTGATCTGCCCGCCTTGGCCTCCCAAAGTGCTGGGATTACAGGCATGAGTCACTGCGCCTGGCCATCAAATATATTAAGAATATGGATATATTTATCAAGTGAACTTGGAAATACTTACACACATATTCAAATGTAACTTATATAACCACACATAAATATGTATAGATGTAAAACTTTAGATATTTAAGATGTAGTTACATACATTTGATATTTGAAGTGAGAATATTGGCAAGCAATATAGAAATAAGTAAAATCTCCATTGTCTCATGGTTTGTATACATTTCATCAGGAAATTAGAGGAGATCCATAGAAAAGCAATTAGAATGGGGTAATTTGGTAGTGAGTTAGCATGAAATACAATGAATATACTCAAACGAGTAGCTTTCTCATGGATAATTATCTTTTATTTTTAAAATATGAAAGAATAAAGTACTTCACATATACATTGTTAAAGGTGTTGAATAATTCTTCAAGTTGGAATGAATATAATTCTTCAAATGTCCACCCAGGACACCCAGCTCCTCTTGACAGGACCTGACCCTCTGTGCCCAGCGTCATCACGGCAAGCATCTCCTCACTCACCAGCCTTGGAGTCGGACTTGTTTTGTGGTGGGCTGAGGGTCTCAGCTGCTCCTGAGAATCAAAACAGAGGAGAAGAGACATATTCAGAGGTAACTCATATGACAAATTATTCAACACCTTTGACAACTTATAAGTGAAGTATTTGATTCCTTTATATTTTTTAAACAAGAGGTAAGTACCCATGAGAAAGCTACTGGTTTGGGTATATTCATTGTATTTCATATTAACTTATTACCAAATTGCCCTCTTCTGATTTAAATTTAAATTAACAATTTTAAAGCATCTCTTTTTCCTATAAAAGAGGTTTAGTTAGATGTCAGAATTATCCAGTGATTGGACAACATTGGACATGAACCCCCCAGGCCCAGAGCTGGGCTGCACTGTAGCCCCCGCTGACCTCCCCCGGGTTTCCCATGCCACAGGGAGCCGCCCAGTCAGTTTCCCTCAGGCCACTGTGCTTTAAAACATCCAAACACAGCCGGGCGCGGTGGCTCACGCCTATAATCTCAGCACTTTGGGAGGCTGAGGCGGGCACATCACAAGGTCAGGAGATCGAGACCATCCTGGCTAACACAGTGAAACCCTGTCTCTACTAAAAATATAAAAAATTAGCCGGGCGTGGTGGCGGGCGCCTGTAGTCCCAGCTACTCGGGAGGCTGAGGCAGGAGAATGGCGTGAACCCGGGAGATGGAGGTTGCAGTGAGCCGAGATCGCGCCACTGCACTCCAGCCTGGGAGACAGAGCGAGACTCCGTCTCAAAAAAAAACAAAAAAAAAGAAAGACAGCAGATTCTAAAACAGTGGGGCTTTGTAAACCTTTGTTGTTTCAAAATACTGTGGCTTTGTCTTACTAAGCTGAGGTTCCAGGAGGGATGAGTGAAACTGCATGCACCCGCTCCCATCTCTGTTGGCTTTTTAACCCTTACAAGTCTCAGTTATTTGGAGAATCAGGACAGGGCCAGAGATGGCTGGAGATGAGAGCAGGTCTAGGATTGAGCCACATCCCAGATGCCCCAGAAGGTCAGAAATGAAGGGGCTTTGGGGCGGTCACATCCAGGCAGCTCCCCCTTATTCAGATGGGGAGTCCAGGGTGCAAGGGGAACGGTCTCTTTCAGAAGTTCCACCTCCCAAGGAGAGGCTGAACCACCACAGACCCAGCCCCACCTCCCCGGGCTCCTCCCACCTGACTCCTAGACCAAGTACCTGACTGTGATCTCCCCTGACCCTGGCTCTCCAATGAGAGGTGACGGCTCCTGGGAATCCTGCTGAGGGAGGGGGAAAGACCCCGCTGCTCCACTCATCAATGCTGAATCTTAGACACCTCCCTCCCCTCTGAACACTACGGAGGGAACACCTGCCCCATCCCTGGAGCCCCAGGGAGCCACGCAGACCACACCCTTACTGTCCACCCTCCCCTCTGCTTCCCTGGAAATCAGACCCTGAATATTGGAGGTAGCATTGAGATGAGTCTAGAAAATTCTCTTGAGCTGGGAGTGGCTGTTTTTTTTTGTGACCCATGGGGTCAGGACTTAGAGGTTGGGACCCAGAGGCTCAGATTCTGAGGTGGAGACATCAGGAGGGGAGCGGGTGGGGCCTCTGTCTTCCACTCTCAGTCTAATCTCCTCTCCTCTGAGGTTCACCCCCCGGCCCCGCCATCTCCTCCCAGCCCTCCCTGCTCTTTACTCTACTGGGACTTCAGGGGTGGGAGCCAGGGGTGAGAGGTCCCTGTCGATTTCCACCCTCTCATGGTCTGGACCCTCCCCTGCAGACCCTCCCCCTTCACTCCCCTCATTCATTATTGTCCCAGAGCTCTGCTGGGGGCAGGGCCTGAGCTGAGCCTTTGAGCTCAGAGAGGACAGGGTCAGGGCCCTCACCTGAGACCACGAGCTCCAGGGGGTCACTGGGGTGAGTCAGCAGGTAGGGGTTGGAGCTGAGTGAGCCGTAGCACCTGTAGGTCCCCGCGTGGGCCGAGGTCACAGGACTCATGGGGAATTCAGCCTGGTACTTATGAGATTGGCGCTTTGATTTTAGACGCAGCGGGGAATCAGCTGCCCCCTCCTTGGTCAAAAGGAAAGTGTGCATCCCTCCCTGTGACTGACACAGCAGGGTCACGTTCTCTCCTGAGGCCACTGTGGGGCCCGGCCGCACGGAGAGGAAGGGTCTGGCACGGATCTGTCCTGGAGAGAAGAAGGATGGGTGAGGGGCTGCCCCACCTTGCTCTGAGCTGAGACCTCCCCAGGCCTCTCCCTGGGACCCTCAGTCTCTCTGTCTCTGTTTTCTCTGAGTCTCCCCTCCCCGCCCACCCCTGTCACTGTCTGTCTCTCCCTCCCTTAGGACCCCCACCCCTCATCCCGGCCATCACCACCTGGGCTCCCCCAGCAGGGCCTTTGCGGAGCCTGGGTCCCTGACTGAACCCGCTGGGCTCCTCACCTGTGATCAGGATGTCCAGGGGGTCGCTGGGGGCCGACCACTCGGAGGAGAGGTTGTATGCACCGGAGCATGTGTACTGGCCCCCGTAGGAGCGGCTCACAGGGCCCAGGGTGAAGTTGGCCTGGGAGAGCCCAGCCTGGGGCTGCCGGCCAGGGCGCTGGAGGAAGTCACGTCCCCACTCCTTGTACAGAACAAATCTGTCGTAGCCGGCATCAGAGCCACACTGGAAGGTCAGCTTCTCCCCAGGGGCCACGACAGGACCCGGCTGCACTGAGAGTGATGGCTTCTTAGAAACACCTGGGAAAAGGTGCTCATGGTTTCCAGGAGCCGACCCTCAGGCTTCCCCACAAACTTTCCCTCTCCCCCGGGGCCTCACCACTGCTGATCTTCCTGTGTCTCTGGCCCCAGGAGCCCTGAGCCCTCTCGCCCCAACATCATCCCACCTGGAGCTGCCCTGAGACGCGGCTCCTCCCCACCTGCCTGGAGACTCAGGGAGACTCAGGGAACCCCAGGCAATGCTGTGAATTTCTCACCTGGGACCAGGAGCCCCAGGAGATCACTGGGTAGAGACCACACATAGGGAGCGCGCGAGTCATAACCATAGCACCTGTACGACCACCTGCGACTTGGGCTCACGGGGCCCACGGAGAAGATGGCCCGGGATGACCCACGGGCATGGGAATGGGAGTTCAGGCATTGTGGGTGTTCATCTTCTCCTTCCTTACACAGAATGAAGCCATCAAATGCCACCTGTGAGTCACACTGGATGGTCACATTCCCTCCTGAGGTCACCACAGGGCTGGGCAGAGCTGAGAGGGTGGGTTTGCTGTAGGCTCCTAGGAGAGAAGGAGGCACCGTGTTAAATGGGGCTCAGACCTCCCGCGTCATCCCCAGGGCTGGGCTGTGAGAGGGAGAAGCCCCTGAGAGCTGACCCCCTTCCTGAGGGCGGAGCCTGGGGCTGGGATCCCTGAGTGTCAGCTCACCTGTCACCACCAGCTCCAGGGGGTCACTGCTCTCTGAGAGGCCTGCAGTGTGGCTGCCATAGATACAGCAATACCGCCCTGCATGTTCCCAGGTGATGGATAGGATGGGGAACTGGCCCTTCTTCACAAGCTCCTGTGGGATCCGTGTAATCCAGAGTGCTGTTTTCTTTTCTCTATATAGATGGTACTCCTGCGTCTCCAGGCTCCCCTGACACCTGAGGGTCACAGGACTCCCTTGGGTGATCACAGAGCCTGGCTCAGCCCAGAGGGTGGGCTTGGGGAGGGGCCCTGGAAGGAAATCAGAGTTCAGATTCTAAGTCATTTCCCACCCAACAGATCTCAGCTCTCAGCTGCAGGACCCTCCAGACACCCCCATCAGTCAGCCCAGAACTGCTATTCCCCATCCCCAGCTGCACAGGGGTGGCCCCTTGTCCCCGGTGAGGAGGAGGGACTTGGGACAGCTAGGGACAGACTCACCTGCCTGCACGTGGGTCCTGGGGTCCAGGCTCAGCCCTGGAAGAGAGTTCCCTATGAGGAATTTGCCCCTGAAGCCTGAGCAGGTCCTCCCCTCCCTGGGATCTTTGTGAGCCCCTGGGGTCTCCTTAGGGACAAGAGTTTGGCTGTGGGGTGAGGTCCCTCCTAGGTTAGAAGCTCCCTCCCTCTTCAAATCTCACCGAGACAGATCAGGACCGTGAGGATGGGGGTCATGGCGTCTCCTCCCACTGCACTGCTCTGTGGATGGATGAGCCCTCGGTGCTGGCAGGACAGAGGACACACAGGGTGTGGACACTTGGAGGCTCGGTCCTTCTTCTCATGGGGTTTTGTCATCTGCAGCCACACAGGAAGTGGAACTGCCCTCCCAGGAGCCTGGCTGTCTTTCCTGTAGGGCTGAGGTGGGGGTGGGCCCAACTCCTCTATAGACATTTCAGACAGAAATGGGGTCTTTCCTGACCCCCAGCCACTGTCTGTCTGCCTTGTCTTCATCTCACTAAGACCTGGGATGCAGCAGGAAAAAGAACCAATGCTTTCCTGAGTCACCCCTTTCAGGTGAGGGCGACCTCCTCCCTCTCACAGCCTCCCTCAAGGTCTCCCTCCCTCCTTCAGCCCATCCATCAGTTCAGCGTTGTGGGGTCCTTACCATGGCAGTCGTCCCTCCAGCCCTGGAGATCCTTCAGGGAAGATGCAGGTCCATGCTGCAGGGTGGACTCAGATCAGCAGAGACGCACCTGACACCTGGCTGTGCAGCCCAGGCTGAGCTGTGTGTGGCAGTGAGAACAGAGGAGAAATGCAGGGAATAAAGAGAGGAAGTCATGACCCTCTTTGTGGCCCTGGACTATAGGTTTTCTTTCTAATCAATAGTAATCCCCCCCTTTTTTTTTACTTCCCCCCCCTTTTTTTTTGGCTACAGCGTCCACCCCTGACGTCCCTGGGAACAAACCTCTGAGTCTTTCCTGCCTCCTCGGTGCCCATTGCATCCTTGGCCGTCCCTCTGCACCTTAATCCCTGTTCAACGTTTTGGGAACAATGACTTATATTTGAGCTTTGATTTGGGGAGTGGGGGAGGAAGCTGATATTTATTCAGAGACTGGTTATCATTCACTGCCTACGTGACCTCGGGCGGTAATGAACCATCTCTGAGCCTCAGTTTCTTCCTTTGCAGCTTGTTGTCACAAATCCCACTGGTCACAGTGGTTGTGGGGTCAGTGGTTCCTGACACATGGGAGAGGCTCATCTGTGCTTCATTTCCAGACCAGGTCAGCACATGAAGTGTTTGGGATATGATAGGATCATAGCGTTGGATGATTGATGTGTTCTCTCAAGATCTCATATCTGGGATCCCTAATGGAGAAATGTACGTGAAGTATTTCTGAAATATGCAGAACATCAATATCATGAGCAGAAAAAGAGGCGTGGAAGTCTCCAAGTGTAGATGGATCCACATTAAATAACAGAGGCCAGAGGTGAGTCGCCACAGGTGCCTGGGACCATCAAGGGGTCATTAGGGTGGAGGTTTCCACCAAAGGTGGCCCAAAGTGATTAGACTCAACATGCCAGACCTGCCTTGGTTTACTACGGAGAAAGAGATTCAAATGTTTAGGAAGGTTAAAATGTTAGAGAGGAGTTGTCATTCAAGACGGCCTCATCTAAATTGGAAGAGTCTAGAAGATCTATCTTTCTTTTCTTTTTTTTTTTTTTTTTGAGATGCAGTCTCACTCTGTTGCCCAGGCTGGAGTGCAGTGGCACCCTCCTCCTCCTCCTCCTCCTCCACACCCTCCTCCTCCTCCTTCTTCTCCTTCTCCTTCTCCCTCTCCCTCTCCCTCTCCCTCTCCTTCACCTTCTCCTTCTCCTTCTTCTTCTTCTATTTTTTTTTTTTTTTTTTTTTGAGACGGAGTCTCGCTCTGTCGCCCAGGCTGGAGTGCAATGGCGTGATCTCGGTTCACTGCAACCTCCGCCTCCCTGGTTCAAGCAATTCTCCTATCTCAGCCTCCCAAGTAGCTGGGATTACAGGCACCCACCATCATGCCAGGCTAATTTTTGTATTTTTAGTAGAGGTGGGGTTTCATCATGTTGACCAGGCTGGTCTCGAACTCCTAACCTCAAGTGATCCTCCTGCCTTGGCCTCCCAAAGTGCTGGGATTACATGCGTGAGCCACCATGCTTTCTTATCCAGCACTGCTAATAAAGACCACCAGAAACCATTTTCCTTGAGCAGGCACAGCCAGCAATATACATTCACTGTCCTACCTCAGGCACATACCAACTGTTTAGTTCTATCCCATAGTTTAGTTCTCACCATAATCATCATTATCATCTCCTTTCATAAAATGTTAGACTGAATCATTACATTGATAAAATTATGCTGGTTGGAATGCCCATCAATGACAGACTGGATAAAGATACTGTGGTACATATACACCATGGAATACTATGCAGCCATAAAAAGGAATGAGATCATGTCCTTTGCAGGGACATGGATGGAGCTGGAAGCCATTATCCTCAGCAAACAAACACAGGAACCAAAAACCAAACACTGCATGTTCTCATTCATAAGTGGGAGCTGAACAATGAGAACACATGGACACAGGAATGGAAACAACACACACTTGGGCCTGTTGGGGGGAAAAGGGAGGAAGAGCCTCAGGATAAATAACTAATGGGTGCCGGGTTTAATACCTAGGTGATGGGCTGATGGGTGCAACAAACCACCACAGCACACGTTTGTTTACTTATGTAACAAACCTGCAGGTCCTGCACATGTATCCCAGAACATAAAATTAAATTAAATTAGATATCAAAAATAAAAATAAAATAAAGTTAAAAAAAGAAATTATGCTATTTGGACCAGGAAAGCAAGAAGTAGCACCTATTCCAAATTTATTAGTAACACATTTGCATGACAGAGGGTGAGAAATAAATTCCACAAAAATATTGGAGCCTTCCGCCTCAACACAATTTCTGAGTCCACTGATATGGAAAATGTTGAGATGTAACTTCTAAAGCAAAAGGTAAGTTGTTGCATCTGGCCCTTCCTACAACCAAAAGAACCATGGTACCTAGTAAGCCTCTTGGGTTTTTTTTTTTTTTTTCCTGAGACAGAATTTTGCTTTTTTTGCCCAGGCTGGAGTGCAGTGGCACAATCTGGGCTCACTGCAACCGATTTCAAGCGATTCTCCTGCCTCAGCCTCTCTAGTAGCTGGGATTACAGGTGCCCGCCCTCACGCCCAGCTAATTTTTGTATTTTTAGTAGAGACAAGGTTTCACCATGTTGGTCAGGCTGGTCTCGAACTCCTGACTGCATGATCCGCCCACCTCGGCCTCCCAAAGTGCTAGGATTACAGGCGTGAGCCACCGTGCCTGGCCCTACCTCTTGGATTTTGAAAGCAACATATTTCTCATGTGGGTGTGCTCCATTAGCCCATTTACTAAGTGACTCAAAAGGAGGCCGGGTGCAGTGGCTCATGCCTGTAATCCCAGCACTTTGGGAGGCCGAGGTGGGCGGATCATGAGGTCAGGAGTTTGAGACCAGTCTGACCAACATGGCAAAACTCCGTCTCTACTAAAAATACAAAAAATTAGCCAGGCATGGTAGCGGGCGCCTGTAATCCCAGCTACTCAGGAGGCTGAGGCAGGAGAACTGCTTGAACCTGGGAGGCAGAGGTTGCAGTGAACCGAGATTGTCCCATTGCATTCCAGCCTGGACAACACTGTGAGACTCCATCTCAAAAAAAAAAAAAAAGTTTTGAGTGGGGTGTGGAATAGGGGAAGGCTCTGCAACAGATCCAGGTCCTGCACAAGCTCTTCTGCCACCTGGGCCATATGATCCAGTGGAACAGATGGTGCTTGAAGTGTCAGTGGCAGATCGAGATGCTGTTTGGAGGTTTTGACAAGCTCCTTCCTATAGGTGAATTGGGGCTTAGACACTTAGGATTGTGGAGCAAAATCCTATCATCATTCACAGATAGCTAGTCTCCTTTTGAAAAACATATATTTTTTTTTGCCGGGCACAGTGGCTCATGCCTGTAATCCCAGCACTTTGGGAGACCAAGGTGGGCAGATCACCTGAGGTCAGGAGTTCGAGACCAGCCCGGCCAACATGGTGAAACCCTGTCTCCACTAAAAATAAAAAAATTAGCCGGGCATGGTGGCACCTGCCTGTAATCCCAGCTACTTGGGAGGCTGAGGCAGGAGAGTCGCTTGAACCCAGGAGACGGAGATTGCAGTGAGCCGAGATCATGCCACTGCACTCTAGCCTGTGCAAGAAGGGTGAGACTCCATCTCAAAAAAAAAAAAAAAGGAAAATATTATATTTTTTTCCATTATTGAGCCTTAGGAGAGACTGGATGCTTGGGCACAGGTCACCAAGGTACCATGAAATGTGAAGTGTGTGTTAGCCGATGCAAGCTGTATAATAAGATCATGTCCACTCAGGCCCTGAAAGTGTGAGCAATTTACACAAAGCAGGGGGCCAAATGCCCATGGTTCCTGTCCCTGCTACACAACCTTCTGCCTTCCAGCCTGCACCTATAATCTCATGGGGATTTCTCTATGCTCCGTTGACAGAGAAAGTGAAGACTCAAGCCTGGTTTGCAGATGGTTCTGCACGATATGCAGACGCCACCCAGAGGTTGAGAGCTTCAGCACTTCTGCCCCTTTATGGGACATCCCTAAAAGACAGTAAAGTCAGGGCGCAAGTGACCCCCTTCCTGAGGACAGAGCCTGCGGCTGGGCGCCTTGAGTGTCCTCTCACCTGTCACCACCAGCACCAGGGGGGTCACTGTGCCCTGACCGGCCTGTGGCACTTTGATAATAACAGTGACAGTTCTCTGCATTGTGCTCTGGCTTGTGTGAGATATGGGTCCTGGTCTTGTTCCCAGGCCCCAGTGGTTTCCTTAATGTTCTGTGACACTGAGCTTCCCTCTTTATCCAGCTGGTGCTCTTGGGGCTCCAGGGTACCCTGACACCAGGTGGTCACAGGCCTCCTCCCAGGGATCACACAGTCTGGCTCAGTCCAGGTGGTGGGTTTAGTGAGGAGCCTTGAAATGAAATCACAGGTTGGGTCCCAAGATACTAATGCATTCCTCAAATCCCAGCTGTCAGTCCCAAGACCCGCCCAGATGTCCCCATCAGTCAGCTCAGAGATGCTGTTCTCCATCCCCAGGTGGCTGGGGGTGGCCCGTTGTCCCCAGTGAGCAGGAGCGACCTGGGACTGCTGGGGACAGACTCACCTGCCTGCACATGGGTCCTGAAGCTCAGACTCAGCCCTGGAAGAGAGTTCCCTGTGAGAGATTTGCCCCTGAAGCCTGAGCAGGTCCTCCCCTGCCTGGGAGCATCCTGACCCCTGAGATTTCCTGATAGACCAGGGCTTGGCTCTGGAGTTAAGTCCCTTCAAGACTAGGGTGCCCCTTCTCCTCTTGAAATCTCACCAAGTCAGAGTAGGGTTGTGAGGGTGGGAGTCACGGCATCTCCTCCCACTGGCCCCAGCTGTACAGATGGATGAAACCATGGTGTCCAGGAGGACAGACAGACACACTCAAAGGCTGGGTTCTCCCTGTCATGGGGTTGTCCCATCAGCAGCCCCACAGGAAGGGGAACTGCAGAAGCCTGGCTCTCATTTCCCCAGGGCTGAGGTGGGAGTGAGCACCAGGTTTCCTGAAGACATTTCAGACAGAAATGGGCTCCCCCTGATCCTTGGCTACTGGCTGCAGGATCTTTCCTCATCTTATTGAGGGCTAGGATGTAGTAGAAAAATGGGCCCAGGGCCTCCCTGAGTGAGCCTCTTCCAGGTGAGGGTAACTGAGGGCTTCTCTTCCCCTCTCAGAGCCTCCACATGGGGTCTCCTTTACTCCTTCATCCTGTCTATCAGCACGGGGTTGTGGGGTCCTTACCATGGCCAGTCATCTCATCCGTCGTGGAGATGCTTCAGGGAAAATGCAGGTCCATGGTGCAGGGCAGACTCAGGTCAGCAGAGACGCATCTGACATCAGGCTGTGTAGTTCAAGTTGAGCTGCACTGTGGCAATGAGCGCAATGGAGAAACACAGGAAATATGGGTAGAGAACACGACCTGTATCCAACACTGCCAGTTTGCTCTATCAACCCGTGCCCTCCATGGACTTTCCCTTTCTCTTAGCAGCAGTATCCACCTTCGTCTCCTTGGAAACAGACTTGTGATCCACTCCTGAGTCTTCAGTGTCCTTTGTTTCCCTGAGGGGAACTCACCTGTTGGGATGGGGAGCTGATTTTTACTTAATGATTGCTCATTATCTGCTGCCCATGTGACCTTGAGCCTTCACAACCCCTTCTCTGAGCCTCAGTTTCCTTGTGTGGAGCAAGTTGTTACACACCCCACTCATCAGAGGGGTCGTGGGGGTCGGCGGTGACTGGGACTTCGAAGGAGCTCAATGATGGTTAATTCCCAGGACAGAGTAAGACATAGGGTTGTAAATTTGAGAAAATCAGGGTGTTGGACAATTGACGCTCCCACCCAAGAATCCTCATCTACCCTGAGCACTAAGAAATTGTACATATAATATTGCTTAAATACACAGATTATCACAGTCATGAGTAGAAATCCTTCCTTCCTTCCTTCCTTCCTTCCTTCCTTCCTTCCTCCCTCCCTCCCTCCCTTCTCTCCCTCCCTCCCTCACTCCCCCCCTTTCTTTCTTTCTTTCTTTCTTCTTTCCTTTTTTTTTTTTTTTGACAGAGTCTCACTCTGTTGCCCAGGCTGGAGTGCAGTGGCACAATCTTGGCTCACTGCAACCACCATCTCCTGGGTTCAAGTGATTCTCCTGCCTCAGCTTCCTGAGTAGCTGGGACTACAGGGGCATGCCACCGCACCTGGCTAATTTCTTTTGTATTTTAGTAGAGATGGGGTTTCTCCATGTTGCCCAGGTTGGTCTTGAACTCCTGAGCTCAGGCAATCCGCCCGCCTCGCCCTCCCAAAGTGCTAGGATTACAGGCGTGAGCAACCACGCCCAGTCGAAGGACTAGTTTTTAATTCCGGTTCTGGCTGTCTGGTTGGTTTTGGTTTTCCTCATGTATGTTTGCTGAGAGGATCTATGTAGTTGCCTGTGATGCCCGTTAATCCAAAATTGCCACCTCACTTTCATCAGTAGGTGGTATCTTAGGCCATCGTTATATAAGAGTAACTTTTTTTTCACTTTTTGGAAAATATTTTATTTGCCAAAATACATTTGAGAAAAATAATGTTGATTATACAAGCGGATAAAGCAATTGTCATATATATATACACACATACACACACACATATATACATCTATACATATACACATATATATACATATACACACATATATACGCATATATACATATATACACACACATATATACATATATATATGTATACACGCACACACACAAATATATATACACTGTGGAATACTACTCAGCCATAAGAGGGAACAAAATAATGGCATTCATAGTGACCTGGATGAAATTGGAGACTATTATTCTAAGTGAAGAAATTCAGGAATGAAAAACCAAATATTTTATGTTCTCATTCCTAAGTGGGAGCTAAGCTATGAGGATGCAAAGGCATAAGAATGCTACAATGGACTTTGGGGACTCGGGGGAAAGGGAGGGAGGAGGTGAGGGATAAAAGACTATAAATCGGGTTTAATGTATACTACTAGGGTGATGGGTGCACAAAAATCTCAGAAATCATCACTAAAGAACTTCTGCAAGTAACCAAACACCACGTTCCCCAAAAACCTATGGAAATAAGAAAGAAAATAAAAGAAAAATGATGTTGGTTATAAGTTGTGCAAACCTGTGTCTTAACTTGTTCATTCCACCAGCATAAAATGCAGCAACACATGTGCAGTGTTGGCCCCAGGCAAATCTGCTTGAGACTCAATGTTCAAGATTGTTATTAGGTGGGGACCACATAGGCATAATGAGCAGCTACAGAGAAACCAGAGGAAACCGGGTGTTCGCCATGAATTACACTGTTTACAGAAACAGCCTAGTGAAGACATAACAGCAGAATTCAGTGCCGCAGGCACACAACCTCACGTTGTCTCTTAGTAACACAGGGGACATGCTAGAAGCAAGTTCCTAGATGCCAACCAAGAATCAAGCTCACAAACAAGTCCTTCTAAAGTTAGCATCCTCATCACTGTTAGGTTAACTTCTTCTTGCATATCCTTCACCTAAAAGAAATAGTAGTCATCTTCAATCCTTCAGCACAGCGTTCACACAGCACGTGCCTCCAGCTCTCCCAGATTCTTCTAGGGCCAGCACAGCTTTTCTGATGCAGATTTTTCAAAGTTCTCCAAACTGAAGAGTCAATCCAAAATCATCTTGACTTTCCATGTTGGCGGCCTTTGGGGGCCTTCTCTGGCTGTGCTGAGCCTGAAAGATCATCCCCTAGAGACCGCCAGGATCAAGCCAGCATGGTCATTGGAATGAGATTCTCCATTGCATAGTCTGAAGGGGCATGGTCAGTAGACAGAACAGGGCATTCACTGGGGGCTAGACAGGCTGCACCCACATTGGGAGCCTGGATGGGTGTTTACACATTCACACTCCTGAAAGGGAAGTCGTAGTTACTCCTGACTTTGAAACTATACTTGGTGGATGCTGGTTGAGAGGATCAAGGACTCCTACGAATAAGAGCATGGGAGGATTAGAGCAGCTGGGGCCATTCTACTCCTGCTCCCCTGTCTTGGCTCCTTCATAACAACTCTCTTCCCTCTTTTTTTTTTTTTTTGAGATGGAGTCTTGCTCCATTGCCCAGGCTGGAGTGCAGTGGTGCAATCTCAGCTCACTGCAACATCTGCCTCCCAGGTTCAAGCAATTCTTCTGTCTCAGCCTCCAGAGTAGTTGGGACTACAGGGGCCTGCCACCATGCCTGGCTAATTTTTGTATTTTTAGTAGAGACAGTGTTTCACCTTGTTGGTCAAGCTGGTCTCGAACTCCTGACCTCAGATGATCCACCTGCCTTGGACTCCCAAAGTGCTGGGGCCACCGCGCCTGGACCTCTCTTCCCTTCTCATGGAGAATTGTGTAACCATCCTTGCTAACCTCAACTTCCACCTCAGATGGAGCACTGTATGATTTCCTTCCTCAAATTTGTTCAAGTTCTTGGGCCTCATTGAGGTCACCACCAACCTCTCGGTTTGGGGGATATTAAGAGTTTAGATTTGCAACCACAACTCAGTGACAGAAAAAAGGAATTCAAAGATACAGGAATACTTAACTGTGCTCCTTTCTCATCTTCAATTTGTTCCCATATTAGGTAAACCCGTGCTTAACCACTTAAGGTAAATACCTCTAGTAACTCTTCATCTGTCAATACAGAATTCAGAGATGCGTATGTGGGACTCTAGATTGTACCAGAGTCCAGGGTACAACAGAGCTAAAGGCTGTCACTGCCTTTTCTATTGTTCTGCCTCATCTAATTATCTCTGTGGTCCAGTGTAGCTTAATACTACTACTATTAAAAGTAATAATCACTGCCTCACTTTTAATGATTGGGTCCACTCATCTGTCCTGTTTTGCGACGAATGAGAGAATGATTTTAGAATCCAAGCCTTTTTTTTTTTTTTGAGACAGAGTTTTGCTCTTGTTGTCCAGGCTGGAGTGCAATGGTGCAATCTCGGCTCACCGCAACCTCTGCCTCCAATTCAAGCGATTCTCCTCCCTCAGCCTCCTGAGTAGCTGGGATTACAGGCATGCACAACGACACCTGGCTAATTTTGTATTTTTAGTAGAGACAGTGTTTCTCTATGTTGGTCAGGCTGGTCTCGAACTCTTGACCTCAGGTGATCCACCCACCTCGGCCTCCCAAAGTACTAGGATTACAGGTGTGAGCCACCATGCCGGGCCGCATCCAAGCCTCTTTTCCAGGAGCAAGAAATACTACAGTGAACAAAATCTCCCATTGTTAATTCAATGTAGAAACTCATGAGAAAAAAGCAAAAAATTTTAAGGAGATAAATTAGAAAACAACATGTGCAGATGGATACATGGACAAAAAAATTAAGCTACCTAGAGATCTCGAATGTGTGTCAACCTAATACAAGGACTATTAGAGAATACAGGTGGGCAAGAATCACTTAACCCACTTTGTCATGGAAAATGTCTTTGAGGATGTGACAGGTTTGGAAAAATGAAAAAATGAGAAAGTGGTCATTATATGAAGATCCAGAAAAATAATATTATTCAATATAGGATCAGCTGATTGAAGTATTCAACAAATATGCAGAAAGTTTCCTAGTGTGGACAAGACTTATTTGATTATGAGGAAATTTAATAAGTGCTGTGAAGTAACATAGATCTGTATTCACAGATGTGCAATAAATTAAGTAAAAATCAATAAAGACATAAAATGAGAAAAAAACCTATCTACAATAAAACCATGAATCTCAAATCATTGGATGGAGAGAAATATACATATACAGAATACTCTCTGAGAATAACTAGAATAAGGAGATATGTGGCCGGGTGCAGTGGCTCACACCTGTAATCCCAGCACTTTGGGAGGTCGAGGTGGGTGGATCACTTGAGGTCAGGAGTTCAAGACCAGCCTGACCAACATGGTGAAACCCTGTCTCTACTAAAAATACAAAATTAGCCGGAAATGGTGGTGCATGCCTGTAATCCCAGCTACTCAAGAGGCTGAGGCAGGAGAATTGCTTGAGCCTGGGAGGCGGAAGTTGCAGTGAGCAGAGATCACGCCACTGTACAGGAAGTTTCAAACCCAGGAGAGGTTATCTTTCAAGTACTCAGTGTTGTGGTTTCTCCTGCCAGGGTGACAACCTGATGATTATGGAAATCTAATCAGAAAACTGCTATCTTGCTTTTATTCCTACCTCCACAGGATGAAAACAGTTAATGGTAGAGATAAAATATGTCCAGAGTAGACAGGAGTCACAGAAAAAGTGAATTCTGATACGTTCTTTCCCAGGAAGTTACTGGTACAGAAGTTTAGAACTGAGATACCTTTTGGAAACAAGGATGGCATTCTGCCTTTGATGGATGGAAGAGTACTATCCCAGATTTAGATAGAGTTTGCTAAAGGCGTCTATCTTAGAGTGGCTGAGCCATCTCCACTTCAAGCTATGACTTTCTGTGAATTACCCACCCACTTGTCCTTCACAATAAGAGCTTACCCACCCACTTGTCCTACAGAATAAGAGGGACCTTTTAGTCTGCTCTTCTGATTGCGGACCTGATTCCACAGGTGCCTGGGGCATCTTTGCAATCCCTAGGAATCAGCACCATGGACAGGGGCAAGGAATAGGGTCCACTCCTCTCTCCACTTCAGCTGGACCTCTTGTTCGTTTTCTTTCTTTCTTTCTTTCTTTCTTTCTTTCTTTCTTTCTTTCTTTCTTTCTTTCTTTCTTTCTTTCTTTCTTTCTTTCTTTCTTTTCTCTCTTTCTCTCTTTTTCTTTCTTTTCTCTCTCTCCTCTTCTTTTCTTTCTTTCTTTCTCTTTCTTTCTCTCCTTCTTCCCTTCTTTCTTTCTTTCTTTCTTTCTTTCTCTTCCTTCCTTCCAACTTTTATTTCAGACACAGGGAGTACAAGTACAAATTTCTTACATGGGAATATTGCTTGATGCTGAGGTTTGGAGTACGGATCACATCCCCCAACTAGTGAGCATAATACCCAATAAGTAGTTTTTAACCCTCTTCCACCCTCTAGTAATCCACAGTGTCTATTTTTCCTATCCTTATGCTCATCTTTTTCTTTACACATTTCACCTCATACTGACCACCCAGCAGGAACAAAATACCTCAATGCTGCTTGGAAAATAAGGCTCCCTCCCTTCATCTCTACCTTCCTTCCCAGGCTCTCTGGAAACAACCTCTTCTGTAAAGACTTCAAGGGCAGAAGAATAAGCTGAGAAACTCAGCCCAGAGCTGCCGGAGACTGTGACTCCTGTAGTCTGTGAGGACCTTGTTGCTCAGCCAACATGAAGTGAGTCCATGAGGGTGAGGAGCTGCAGATCCCACAGACTGTTTGGGGCAGGGACAGAAGGAGTAGGTGGGGTTGTGGTGCCTCTTGCTCTGTTCCTCAGCTTCATCTCTTTTGCTCAAAGGTTGGCCCCCTACCTTTTCAAATCTTCTCATTCCACTCACCCAGCACCTTCTGTGACCCCCGAGTAGGGTAAGGCATGGAGAGTGAGAATGACCCCCACTTTCATGAATTTCTTCATCCCTTTCTGAGATGGGATTGCCCTATGACTGGTCCCTGCTGTTTTTCCTTCCTTCTATCCCAGGCCGGGGCTCTCCTAGCACAGGGATGCATGCTAAGGTTTAGAATCTTAACGGATGTGGTGCTTGGAGCTCCTGTACTGAGACCAAAATCTTTAGGGGTCACTGGGGTGTGACAATAGGGGTAAGGAGGAACTATGTGGACCACAGCACTAGTAGGTCCCCCTGTGGGCTGAAGTCAGAGGGCTTGGAGTAAACTTGGCCTGAGAGAGTAAGGCCATGTCTTTCAATCGATGGTTTTGGGGAGGCACAAGTGACCGGTCCTTGGACAGACAGAAGGTACCCAACCAGATCTCTGAGTAGCACTGCAAGGTCAAGTTCTCTCCCGAGGACACTAAGGGCCCTGGCTCAGACAAATGGAGGGTTTCTTGTACATTTCTAGGAAATATGAAGGTTGCAGTGTGTACAAAGCAGCCCCTTCCCACATGTCCTGGACCCCGAACTGAGGGACTGGCCTCCTCTCTCTCAGCTCCTGTTAGACTCTTGGTGTGGGTCTTTGTAATCTCCAGGCCTCTCACTCTCCTTTTCTAAGTTGCTCTCCTTGGACCACTGCCTCATCGCATCCTCTACTCTAGGACCCTCTCCCTGGACCCTCAACCCAGGGATGACCCTGGTCCCAGGACCCTGAGCATATAATCAAGACAGGGGGCTAGGCCAGGCGCAGTGGCTCACCCCTGTAATCCCAGCACTTTGGGAGGCCGAGGTGGGCAGATCACGAGGTCAGGAGATCGAGACTATCCTGGCCAACATGGTGAAACCCAGTCACTACAGGCCAGGTGCGGTGGCTCACACCTTTAATCCCAGCACTTTGGGAGGCTGTGGCGGGCAGATCACGAGGTCAGGAGATCGAGACTATCCTGGCCAACATGGTGAAACCCTGTCACTACTAAAAATACAAAAATTAGCTTGGCATGGTGGCATGCGCCTGTAGTCCCAGCTACTTGGGAGGCTGAGGAAGAAGAATTGCTTGAACTCGGGAGGTGGAGGTTGCAGTGAGCCGACATAGTGCCACTACACTCCAGCCTGGGTGACAAAGCGAGACTCCGTCTCAAAAAAAAAAAAAGAGCGAATGGGGCTTGAAGGCTACAGACAGGAGGTTAGGACGCCATTTTGGATTTATCTTTTCCTGGAGGGCATCTGATCTTCTCCCATGGATTTAGTTACTGGTTCAGGTGTGGAACTCTGAACTGAAGAGATGGAGGCTCAGTAAAGCACACAGGGAGTGTGATAATGAGAATTGAAGTGGACTGTGTGACACGCCAAGGACCAGAGCATGCAGGTGTGCAGAGATGTGGACCCAACGCTGCCTGCCATGTGGGATGTAGCCTCATGTCTCGGGCTGGGAAGAGAAGGGAATCCAACCAAGGGAAGTCAACATTAATAGAAAGGAAAGGTGTCACATTTTAATGGTCCTCCATGGATCACCCCAGACCAGTGTCTCTGCACTCAAACACCCATTCCTCCCTCTAGAAATTGCCAGAGGCTGAGGCAGGAGAATCACTTGAACCCGAGAGGCGGAGGTTGCAGTGAGCCCAGATTGCGCCACTGCATTCCAGCCTGGTGACAGAGCAAGACTCCATCTCAAAAAAAAAAAAAAAAAAAAAAAAAAGAAAGAAAAGAAAAGAAAGAAAAAAAGAAATTGCCAGCAGACAGTCCAGATGGCATAGGCCTCAGATGGTCTTCCCGAACCTCCTAGGACCATCAGATTCGCTTCCAAGGCTCCAGCATTCAATGGTGCATTGTTCTCTCTTCTGTTCACCTTCCAGCTGCAGCTTGGGGGCTTCTCTGGCTGTGCCAATCCTGAAATATCAGAATCCCAAGGACCACCAGGATCAAGCCGGCCATGCCCATGCGGATGAGATTCTCTACTGCGTAATCCTGAAGGTGTGAGGCTGGGGATGGTGGACAAAGAGGTCACAGAGGTCAGGGCAGATCAGTATCACCCAGGACCCCTGGATGTCTCCCCAGGGCACCCATATCATCTTGACAGGACCTGACCCTCTGTGCCAGTTCCATAACTGAGAGCATCTCCTCACTCACCAGTCCCAGAGTCAGACTTGTTTTGTGACGGACTGAGGTTATCAGCTGCTCCTGAAAATCAAAACAGGGGAAGGGGAAGGAGAAGTTCTTGAAGCAATCTGAGCCCAGCCTCTCCCCTGAGCTCTGCATTCTCCTAGTTCCCTGTGCCTCTCAACATGACTTTTATGGAGTTCCTCCATAAACCCTCCCTCTGCTGGAGCAGGGTTCCCTCCAGTCTCCTCACTGAATTATTTCAGCTTTCCTTTGTTCTTTGAATTTAAACTTTGCTCCTGAGTCATTTGGGAAAGAGCTTTCCTGCACCGTGAAAGCTCAGGATCTGCAAGGAAAGTGGCCCCCAGAAGTCACTGAGCCCTTTGTGCTCTCTGTGCAGCCTGGGACACAGGAGCACATAAGCCAATTCCCCCAGAGATGAGAGTTTCACGGATCCACCAGCTGAGGACCCAGGCTCCATGGATGACGGGTTGGTCCTCAGGGGCTCCTGAATGTCAGAATCACAAACAGCTGCCTCCCCTTGACGCCACCTCAACCACCTCACCTGGTGTTTCATCATACAATAAGTCTCTAGTCAGCTAACTATTCATATAGTCAGTCATATATATATACGTATGTATATAAATGTGTGTGTGTGTGTGTGTGTGTGTGTGTGTATATATATATATATATATATATATATATATATATATATATATATATGGTGTTACAGAGGCTCATAAAACAATTTCTGCTTTTAGGGCCAGGCGTGGTGGCTCATGCCTGTAATCCCAGCACTTTGGGAGGCCAAGGCGGGCAGATCACGAGGTTAGGAGTTCGAGACCAGCCTGGCCAACATGGTGAAACCCCGTCTCTACTAAAAATAAAAAAATGAGCCGGGCATGGTGGCACCTGCCTGTAATCCCAGCTACTTGGGAGGCTGAGACAGGAGAATCGCTTGAACCTGGGAGGCAGAGGTTGCAGTGAGCCCAGGTCATGCCATTGCACTCCAGCTTGGGCAACAGGGCAAGAGACTCCATCTCAAACAAACAAACAAAAATTTCTGCTTTTATAAAGTGTGAGTCTAGGTGAGAAGACCAATAACAAACATGTAAAAGCCCTCCATGTCAAATACATTAAGCATGTAGATATACGTATAAAAAATATATGCAGATATACCTACACTTATATTCAGATGTAACTTATATAACCATACATAAATATGTATATATGTAAAACTTTAGATATTTATTTAAGATGCAGTTACATGCATATTAATACTTGAAGTGACAAAAATTGATATGCGGTTTAGAAATAAAAAATAAAATTTCAATTTTCTTATAGTTAATATAAATTTTATCAGTAAATTTGGGGAGATCAGTTGAAAGATAATTGAAAGGGAAAAATGTTATAGCAAGCTAAAATGAAATTAAATGAATATACTCAAACTAAAAGCTTTCTCATGTGTATATCTTACTTAGAAATATAAATGAATCAGGCTGGGCATGGTGGCTCACGCCTGTAATCCCAGCACTTTGGGAGGCCTAGGTGGGTGGATCACGAGGTCAGGAGATCGAGACCATCCTGGCTAACACAGTGAAACCCCATCTCTACTAAAAATACAAAAAAATTAGCCCGGCATGGTGGTGGGTGCCTGTAGTCCCAGCTACTCGGGAGGCTGAGGCAGGACAATGGCGTGAACCCAGGAGGTGGAGCTTGCAGTGAGCCGAGATCGCGCCACTGCACTCCAGGCTGGGCGACAGAGCAAGACTCCATCTCAAAAACAAAAACAAACAAACAAACAAAAGAAATATACATGAATCAAATACTTCACTTAAGAATAATTAAAGTAGTTGAAGAATTTTTTAAATTAGACTAAATGTACACATTCTTATGAACGGAACTTGAAAACACTTATTAACTTCATTAATAAACTTCAATTTTATATATTAATAATAGAAATACTTGCTATTAACAACTAATTTTATACAGCAAATGTAAATATTGAATTATGCCCCCAGGACAATGGGAGTGGAATTACTTGTTTTTAAATCATAAATCCATATATCTTAAAGAGACAAATTTAAATATTCAAATATTGTTTTAAAAGATTCAGAAGAAGAGAGAAAAAATAAACAAGTATGCCCAGAAAATGCAGAGCAGCAATGAACAGCAGACAAGACGTGCTGTGAATAAGTTCCTAACTTCCTCCAGGGAGCAGGTGCGCGGCCCCTCCTTTGTCTCAGGGGTGCCCTGAGCACAGAGGCCTCCAGGTGAGCACAGGAGGGGCGGTGTGAGTGGTACCCACAGCTGGGGCGCTTCTCTCTAAAGGAGCAGGTCTGGCGTGGACTCCAGCCTCATCACCGTCAGATCCCACCGAGGCCTGAGCAGCCTCCTCCCCTGTCCTGAGTGGGCTCAGGGACCCCGCAGGTGTGGGTGAGGGGCTCCATCCTCAGGGGCTCTTGGAAATGAGAAGTGAGAGCTGCCAAGGGAGCATCCGTCTGTCCTCTCTCCAACTCGCCTGCCTCTCTTCCTCCTCCATCAGCCCCAGCATCTTCCCCATGTTCCAAGTCAGGCCTGGACCCCAAATCCTGCTGACCAGGTCTGTTCTCCTTCCTCTACTCATCACTCATCCCGCAGGATAGGGTAGGGGCCTGGGAGTCTTGTAAAGCTGCATGGTTTTTAGTAGAAAATCTGAAACGCTTCGTGTGACATGTGAGAGAGAGGAGATTCTAAACAGTGGGGTTTTTACACATCTTTGCTTTCTCATAATATTGTGGCTTCGTCTCACGAACCTCAGACCCCAGCACTGATGGATATGATTACATGTACCTGCAGCTGCCCCTCTTGGCTTTCTAACCCTTGCAAGGCATAGCTATTGGCAAGAGCAGACCAGGTCTTAGGGTGAGTGATGGGAGCTGCTTTTCTAGGTCTAGGATGAGCCACATCTCAGATGCCCCACAAGGTCAGAAATGAGGGGGCTTTGGGGGTCACTTCCAAGCTCAGGGGGAAGTCAGCCTGGGAGAGCCCAGCCTGGGGCTGCCGGCCAGTGGAGGAGGTCACGTCTGTCCTCCTTGTAGAGAGCAAACCTGTCATAGCCAACATCAGAGTGATACTGGAGGGTCAGGTTCTCTCCAGGGACCACAACAGGGCCCTGCGGGGTCAGGAGGGAGGGCTTTCTAGACACACCTGGAAGGATAAAGGAGCCGGGACTGCAGGGGCTGGTTCCTCCTATAAACCTCCTTCTGGAGTCTCCCTTGCTCTGTTTTTCTTTTTCTTTTTTTTTTTTTTGAGACAGAGTCTCGCTCTGTCACCCAGGCTGGAGTGCAATGACACAGTCTCGGCTCACTGCAACCTCCGCCTCCCGGGTTCGAGCGATTCTCCTGCCTCAGCCTCCCAAGTAGCTGGGATTACAGGTGTGTGCCGCCACGCCCAGCTAATTTTTGTATTTTTAGTAGAAATGGGGTTTCACCATGTTGGCCAGGCTGGTCTTGAACTCCTGACATCAGGTGATCCACCTGCCTCGGCCTCCCAAAGTGCTGAGATTACACGTGTGAGCCACTGTGCCCAGCCCTTGCTTTGTTTTCCTCACCCTGAATTTGTGTCCCTAGGATTTCTGTGTTCTCCTTCCCCTTTTTGTCTTTCTTAGCAGGGGCTGCCCTGCCTGTAAAGCTCTCCACAACCTGTCTGGCTTCCCTGAATTGTACTAGAGAAGACTGTGGCTTCCTCACCTGAGACCGGAATCTCCAGGAGGTCACTGGGTTCTGACCATACCTGCAGGATATGCCTGCGAGAGCCATAGCATCTGAGCATCCACCTGTGGCTGGGGGTCACAGGGCCCACAGGGAACAGGGCCTGGAACTGCCCACTGGGGGTCAGCTGTGAGTCCAAGGTCCAGGAGAGCTTGTGGTCTCCTTCCTCAGTCAGAATGAACCTGTCGAATCTCAGCCGTGAGCCACACTGGAGGGTCACGTTCTCTCCTGAGGTCACCACAGGACTGGGCAGGGCTGAGAGGGTGGGTTTGTTGTAGAATCCTAGGAGAGAAGGAGGCACCGTGTTAAATGGGGCTCCCACCTCCCACATCATCCCCAGGGCTGGGCTGTGAAAGGGAGACACCCCTGAGAGCCGACCCCCTTCCTGAGGGCAGAGCCTGGAGCTGGGACCCCAGAGTGTCCTCTCACCTGTCACCACCAGCTCCAGGGGGTCGCTGGGCTCTGACCAGCCTGCAGGGCTGTAGTAGTAACAGCGGTATCTCCCTGCATGGTGCTCTGTCATGGATGGGATGGAGAATCTGGCCTTGTTCTTGGGCTCCAGTGGGTTCTGTGTGTCCCAGGGTTCTGGGCTTCCCTCTTTAACCAGACGGTATTCCTGGGCCTCCAGGGTCCCCTGACACCGGATGGTCACAGAGTTCCCCCGGCTGATCACAGAGCCTGGCTCAGCCCAGAGGGTGGCTTTGGAGAGGTTCCCTGGAAGGAAATCAGAGTCTGGGCTCCAAGACCTCCCCACCCCTCAGATCCCAGCTCTCAGCCCCAGGACCCTCCAGACGTCCCCATCAATCACCCAGAACTGCGGTCTTCACCTCCAGCTGCCCATGGGTGGCCCTTTGTCCCCATTGAGGAGGAGGGACCTGGGACAGCTGGGGACAGACTCACCTGCCTGCACGTGGGTCCTGGGGCCCAGACTCAGCCCTGGAAGAGAGTTCCCTGTGAGAGATTTGCCTCTGAAGCCTGAGCAGGTCCTCCCCTGCCTGGGAACCTCCTAAAACCCTGGAGTTTCCTGATAGACAAGGGCCTCGTTATGGGGTGGGGTCCCTCCCAGACTAGGGTGCCCCTTCCCTGAGGCTTCCAATCTCACCGAGGCAGAGCAGAACCATGAGGGCAGGGCTCACGGCGTCTCCTCCCACTGGCTGCAGCTGTGCAGATGGATGAGACCATGGTGCCTGGCAGGACAGAGAGACACACAGGGTGTGGCAGCTCGGAGGCTGGGTCCTTCTTGTCATAGGATTTTCTCATTCTCAGCCCACAGAAAGGGGAACTGCTCTCCCCAGGAGCCTGGCTCTCATTTCCCCAGGGCTGAAGTGAAGTAGTTGAGACTACAGGCACCAGGCTCTCTGCAGACATTTCAGACAGAAGTGGGGTCTCCCTTCCCCGGGCCACTGTCTGCCTGATTTATCTTTATCTCACTGAGAGCCGGGACACAGCAGCAAATAGACCCGGTGCCTTCCCGAGTCAGCCCCTTTCAGGCGAGGGTGACCTCCTCCCTCTCAGAGCCTCCCCATGGGGTCTCCCTCCCTCCTTCAGCCCGTCCATGAGCTCAGCGTTGCGGGGTCCTTACCATGGTCAGTGATTTTTCAGCCCTGGAGATGCTTCAGGGAAGATGCAGGTCCATGCCACAGGCAGACTCAGATCAGCAGAGACACATCTGACACCTGGCTGTGTAGCCCAGGCTGAGCTGCATGTGGCAATGAGCACAGAGGAGAAATGCAGGGAAATAGGGGAGGAAATCATGACCCTTTAGTGGCCCTGGAGTGTTTTCTTTCTAACCAATAGTACTCTCTTTCTTGTACTTCCCTTAATTTTTTTTTTTTTTTTTTTTTGCAACAGCGTCCACCTCCACCCCACCTCCAGTAACAAACCTCTGAATCTTTTCTGCCTCCACTGTGCCTTCTGTTTCTTTGGGCTTCCCTCTATACCTCAATCCATGTTCAACATTTTTGGAGTAATTACTTAGGCTTTGTTTTAAAATTTTCATTCTTATGTATCTATTTATTTTTTAATTTTTGTGGGTACATTACTTAGGTTTGGGCTCTGGTTTGCTGAGTGGGGAGTTGATTTCTTTCTTTCTTTCTTTCTTTCTTTCCTTTTTTTTTTTTTTGAGACCGAGTCTCGCTCTGTCGCCCAGGCTGGAGTGCAATGGCGCTATCTCGGCTCACTGCAAGCTCCACCTCCCGGGTTCATACCATTCTCCTGCCTCAGCCTCCCGAGTAGCTGGGACTACAGGCGTCCGCCACCACGCCCGGCTAATTTTTTTGTATTTTTATTAGAGACAGGGTTTCACCATGTTAGCCAGGATGGTCTCGATCTCCTGACCTCATGATCCGCCTACCTCGGCCTCCCAAAGTGCTGGGATTACAGGCGTGAGCCACTGCGCCCGGCTGGTGGGGAGTTGATTTCTATGTAATTCCCGATTATTATCTACGGCTTGTGTGATCTTGGGCAGTAATGTCTCATCTCTGAGCCTCAGTTTCCCTGTGTGGAGCCTGTTGTCATGAACCTCACTCATCACAGCGGATGTGGGGGTCAGCCGTGCTTGGGTCATGGGAGAGGCTCAATCACGGTTAATGTCTAGACTAGATTAAGACATGAGGGGTTGGGACATGAGAGGATTCTGGTTTCAGTCTCTATGATTATGTCACAGAGGTGCAGAAAAAGCATTTGATAAAATCCTGCATCCCTTCATGATAAAAATTCCCAACAAACAAGGTACAGAGGGACATACCTCAAAATACTAAAGGCGATAGGTGACGAAATCCCAGCCAATATCGCAAACAGGGAAAAATAGAAAGCATTCCCCCTAAGAACTGGAGCATGACAAAGATGTGCACTGTCACCACTCTTCAACGTAGTACTGGAGGTCCTTGCCAGAGCAATCAGGCAAGACAAAGAAATAAAACACATCTAAATTGGAAAAAAAAAAAGTGAAATTATTTCTGTTCGCTGATGATATTATCTTATACCTCAAAAACCCTAAAGACTCAGCCAAAACACTCTTAGATTTGATAAAGAAATGCAGTAAAGTTTCAGGATATAGAATCAAAGTACAGAAATCAGTAGCATTTCTGTACTCCAATAATGACGAAGCTGAGAACCAAGTCAAGGAGGCAATCCCATGGACAGTGGGTGCACAAAAATAAAACACCTGGGAATATATTTAACCAAGGAGGTGAAAGATTTCTACAAGGAAAACTTCAAACCAGTGATGAAAGAAATTGTAGAAGACACAAACAGATGGAAAAACATCCCATTCTCATAAATCAGAATAATTACTATGATTAAAATGACCACATTGCCCAAAGCAATCTACAGATTTAATGCAGTCCTTACAAAAATACCTTCATTTTTCACAGACTTAGAAAAAGAAACCTTAAAAGTTATATTGAGCCAAAAAAAGAGCCCAAACAGCCATAGCAATCCTAAGCAAAAAGAGCAAAGCTAGAGACATCACATTAACTGACTCAAAGTTTACAAGGCTATAGTAACCAAAAGAGCATGACACTGGTATAAAAATAGACATATAGGCCAGTTGCAGTGGCTCACGCCTCTAATCCCAGCACTTTGGGAGGCTGAGGCAGGTGGATTACGAGGTCAGGAGTTCAAGACCAGCTTGGCCAACATGGTGAAACCCCGTCTCTGCTAAAAATACAAAAGAATTAGCCAGGTGTGGTGATGGGTGATCTCAAATTAACAACCTAACATCACAACTAAAAGAACTAGAGAATAATCCGCCCGGCGCGGTGGCTCACGCCTGTAATTCCAGCACTTTGGGAGGCTGAGGCGGGTGGATCACAAGGTCAGGAGATCGAGACCATCCTGGCTAACATGGTGAAACCCTGTCTCTACTGAAAACACAAAAAATTAGCCAGGCGTGGTGGCGGGCACCTGTAGTCCCAGCTACTCGGGAGGCTGAGGCAGGAGAATGGCGTGAACCTGGGAGGTGGAGCTTGCAGTGAGCCGAGATCACGCCACTGCACTCCAGCCTGGGAGACAGCAATTGGAATGCAATTTAGAAATAAAGTGAAATTTCAACTTTTGTGTGAGTTATGTACATTTTATTAGTAAATTAGAGGGGATCAATTGAAAATAATTGGAATTAAGAAATTCTGTAGTAAGTTGGTATAAAATAAAGTAAATGAACTCAAACCAATTACTGTATCATGTATACCTAGCTTTTATTTATAAGGAATCAAAGACCTCATTTACAGATTATTCAAGTGATTGAATAATTGTTTAAATTGAAATAAATATATAAAATTCTTATAAATAAAATTTCAAGACACTTCTTAAGTTCATCAATAAACCTCAATTTTAAAAGTTTAGGATAGGAAAACTTAACATAAATAAGAAACTATTTTCTAAAGCAAATATATAAATGAAATCATGTCCCAAATTAAAATGATAAGTTTATATATTCATGTATTGCTTTAAATGTTTCAGAAGAACAGAGAGTAACAATAGACAAGTGTGCACAGAAAAGGCAGGGTAGAAATGAATGACACACAAGCCGCGCTGTGAATAACTCCCTAACTCATCCAGGGAGCAGGTGCGTGGCCCCTCCTTACTCTCAGGGGTTCCCTGAGCACAGAGGCCTTCAGGTGAGCACAGGAGGGGCGGTGTGAGGTGCACCCACAAGTGGGGTGCTTCTCTCTAAAGGAGCAGGTCTGGGGCGGACTCCAGCCTCATCCCAGTCAGATCCCACCGAGGCCCGAGCAGCCTCCTCTCCTGTCATAAGAGGACCCAGGGACCCCGCAGGTGTGGGTGAGGGGCTTCATCCTCAGGGGCTCTTGGAAATGAGAAATAAGAGCTCCCAAGGGAGCGTCCATCTGTCCTCTCTCCAACTTGCTTGCCTCTCTTCCTCCTCCATCAGCCCCAGCGTCTTCCCCATGTCTGAGTCTGGCTGGACCCCAAATCCTCCTGATCCAGCCTGCTCTCCTTCCTCTGCTCATCACATATCCTGCAGGACAGGGTAGGGGCCTGGGAGTCATGCACAGCTGTGCTGGGTGTTGCTTTTAGTAGAAAATCTGAAACAGTGTGTGATGTGTGAGAGAGGGGAGATTCTAAACAGTGGGGTTTTTACAAATCTTTGCTTTCTCCTAATACTGTGGCTTCATCTCACGAATCTCAGACCCCAACATTGATGGATACAATTACAATTACATGTACCTGCAGCTGCCTCTCCTGGCTTTCTAACCCTTGCAACACACAGTTATTGGTAGGAGCTGACCAGGCCAAGGGAGGGCTGGGGGACGGCAGCAGGTCTAGGATGAGCCGCAACCCAGATGCCCCAGAAGGTCAGAAATGAAAGGGCTTTGGGGGTCACTTCCAGGCAGCTCCTTCTTATTCGGATGGGAAAGGCCAGGGCGGAAGGGGAAAAGGCTTTCTCAGAAGTTCTGAGGTAGGATGTGGGACTTTGGAGGCGGGGACTCAGACACCACGCCAGATTGAGAACTAGCTAAAACAGGGCAGAGGGTGGAAGCAGCTCTTCTTAAGACACGCCCACCAGTGTGGCATCCCGGTTTACCGTTGCCATGGCAACCCCCGGAAGGTACCGCCCTTTTCCACGGCAAAGACCCACTGACCGGAAGTTACCGCCCTTTTTCTAGGAATTTCTGCATACCTGACCTTTAATTTGCATATAATTAAAAGCAGGTACAAGAGTGGCTGCAGGTGTGTTTCTGAGCTGCTATTCTGGGCACACCGCCTGTGGGGCAGCCCTGCCACCCTAGGAGCAGTACCTCTGCTGCTGCTGTGCTCGGCCACTTGACTAGAGGTTGCCGTAACCCTTAAGGGGTTGTGTAACACCAGCTCACCCTTAAATTCCTTTTTTTTTTGTTTTTGAGATAGAGTTTTAGTCTGTCACCCAGGTTGAAGTGCAATGGCGCCATCTCGGCTCGCTGCAATCTCTGCCTCCGGAGTTCAAGCGATTCTCTTGCGTCAGCTCCCAAGTAGCTGGAATTACAGGCACCCGCCACCCCACCCTGCTAATTTTTGTAGTCTTTAGTAGAGACGGGGTTTCACCGTGTTGGCCAGGTTGGTCTCAGACTCCTGACCTCAAATGATCTGCCCGCCTCAGCCTTCCAAGGTGCTGGGATGACAGGTGTGGACCACCGCGACCGGCCTAAATTCTTTCTTAGGCAAAGCCAAGAACTCTTCTGGGCTATGCCCCGATTTGGGAGCTCCCCTTCCCCGCATCATCTAGTTACCAGGAAGGGATGACGGAGACAGCGAGTGAGAGGCAGAGAGACTTTCCGCAGAGGCAGGGACAATTAGGAGAGAGGCGAGATGGCTAGACAGCAGAGATGGTGACAGTGATCAGCGGAGGGGTGGCAATGGGTGAAAGACACGGAGAGGTGGCACTGGGCTAGACAGCGAGAGGTTGCTGAGACAGTCGGAGAGACAGCGGGGCGGGGCAGTCTGTGATCAGGGCTCCAAGAGCGGTCACACAGGCTGTAACAGTAAACAGCTGCTAATACTGCAGAGCTGTCACACTAACCAAAGGCTTTGCTTTTGGCGCCTTCATCTTTCCTTGGATAGTGGTGGAGCTCAGCGATGGGCAAGCAGGTGAGACCCCCGCTCCAACCGACAGGCCCATGGGTTACCAGTCCCCGCACCGGACCCCTGGGTGACAGCTGAGCCCACCCAAGCTGGGGGATCCTGCAGAGACCTTCACCTGGGCCCCATGTGGAAGATTTTTGATGTTATTTAGGCTTTTGGGGATGGGGGAGTGTCCCCTCTGCCTCCCCCGTAATATCTGGTGAGCCGTATGGGTAATGCGAGCACTAGACACCTAAACCCCACCAGAACGCAATGCATCCATGTAAGGAACCTGCGCGTGTAGCGCCTGAATCTAAAAAAATAGAGTAACATTAAAAACAACAACAACAATAAAGCCGTGTGAGGTGGCTCACGCCTGTAATCTCAGAACTTTGGGAGGCCGAAGCGGGTGGATCACCTGAGGTCAGGAGTTTGAGACCAGCCTGGCCAACATGGTGAAACACCGTCTCTACTGAAAATACAAAAACTTAGCTGGGCATGGTGGTGGGTGCCTGTAATCCCAGCTACTCATGAATTATCATGAAGAGAAAATGGGCCAGGTGCGGTGACTCACGCCTGTAATCCTAGCACTTTGTGAGGCCAAGGCGGACAGATCACCTGCGGTCAGGAGTTCGAGACAAGCCTGGCCAACATGGTGAAACCCCATCTCTATTAAAAATATAAAAATTAGCCGGGCATGATGGTGGGCACCTGTAATCCCAGCTACTGGGGAGTCTGAGGCAGGAGAATCACTTGAACCCAGGAGGTGAAGGTTGCAGTGAGCCGAGATGGTGCCACTGCATTCCAGCCTAGGCGACAGAGAGAAGCTTCGTCTCAAAAAAAAAAAAAAGAGAAAAAATGGTCCACAATAAAATAACAGGCGGTTATTGTACCTGAATTTATCAGTAAAAAATTGAATTTTTTCTTTTATTGCCTAGAGTCCACCTTCTATCAATGTCACAAGCATGACACTCAGAACAGAGAGGAAAAGATTATATTTGAAGTCCTAATATAAATTTAATTTACCATATTGAAGTATAAGTATTTTAGAGTTGCTTCATGAATTTTTTGCTAAAATCTAAAAAGAAAACCCACAAAAAACCCTAAATGTAATGACGTTAATGCAGTTCCTGACAGTGACTTTTAGCCCTTCTGCAAACTTTTGTTTCGTTGCCTTCCTGACCGTATGACGCAATGAAATTTCGATTTGCTTTAATTTCTGCTTCCTCTTTCCCTATGTTTCAGTTCTGAAGGTATGAGCTTCTCTCATCTTTTTCTTTTCTTTTACTTTGAGATGGAGTCTCGCTCTGTCACCCAGGCTGGAGTGCAACAGCCTGACCTCAGCTCACTGCAACCTCTGCTACCCATGTTCAAGTGATTCTCCTGTCTCAGTCTCCCAAGTAGCTGGATGACAGGCATGAGCCACCACGCCCAGTTAATTTTTGTATTTTTAGTAGAGACAGGATTTCACCCTGTTGGTCAGGCTGGTCTCGAATTCCTCACCTCAGGTGATCCACCTGCTTTGGCCTCCCAAAGTGCTGGGATTACAGGTGTGAGCCACCGTGCCCGGCCAGGATATTTTTTTCTTTAGAGCACTTACTTCACTTTCTTTGAGTGAAGTTGGATGGGTTACAGCCGTTGTGGTGTTACAAAGAATAATTCTGAGAGAAATATTGTTATTTGTTGGTAAAATAAAAGTGTCTTAAGTTAAAAGTTTCCTTTGAGACCCAATAAAGAAATTAGTATTACTACATAATGCATTTATTTACAAGTCTTTTTTTGCATGTCCATTGTAAATTTAATATTTTAATTTACAATGAGTTTACAAATAATTTTTACAAATAAATGTTACAAATAAAAATAATTTACAATGAGTAAATGAGTTGGAATTTATTTACATGCTTATGGCTGCCTTTGATTAAACTTCTTCCAAAAATAAACTCTGTCCAGATGTTGGGTTTTATTATACTTAATTTCATTTTAATGTTATTTCATGTGAGATTACTTGAATACAAGCTGTTGCATAATTGCTCCCAAGTGGAGTCTTTGCTGTGCACTTGCATACCCCAGAGTGGGAGGTTTGGGGATTCTGAATGGCCAGGGCAGCGTGTGGGTGTACCTTCACAGGCCTGATGTGTGAGCCTTCAAACACCGGGGTGGAGGAAGTGATTAAATAGAGGATGCAATGGTCTGGAGGCAATTTATAGCCCAGAGACCATACCTGGGGCATTTCTCTTCCTTATCTAGCACACAAAGTAGAACCGTGACACTCGGGCGTCACTGACAATGAACACAAAGGGGCTGAATGTCGGGAATCCTGCAGACGCCAGGAAAGAGGTACTTCTCAGCCATTGGCTTGGATTCTGAATCTGGGTTACGCACAATGACAAAATATCAGCTAGAGCATGAGAGGAGACAAACATGCTCACCAGGATGAGGATGGTGTGTGTGGTTGTGGTTTCATGAGATGTTCTGCGGGAGAGGTTGCGGCTGCGAACATGTTGGACTCTCTGCTTGTATCTATGCAGGACGAGGACCATGGAGCTGCTGGTGCAGATCATGAGGGAGACACATATACGGGAGACACATATACCATCTGTGCAGCAGTAAATGACTGCAACTATTACATACAGCGATCTTCCTGGATAGGGTGAGGAGCAGTATCTATACATTTTTTCCATACTCATGTTTTTGCTCTTTATTGGGTCAGTTATATACTTTGCAGTATAAATATTTACAACAAGATTCAAGATCCAACAGAGGAAACAGCAGAAAACTATAAACTTTGGGGATCTAATTCAGAGTTCCATCTTCCCAGAGATACTGGGGTGAAGCTTCATGGCCTGGAAGCCACTGAAGAGGCAGGTGGTGCTGAGGGAAACCCCTCTGGCCACTCTGTGTAGGTAGAAGACAAGTTTACATCCAGCCTCATCCAGGAAAGGTTTCAATCCAAAAGCCGCCACTGTCTGAGGGATCCCTTTAGAGAAAAGAACCGGGTTGTTGGCTAAGACCAGCTGGCTGAGAATCAGGTCTCTGGGTCTCACTATTTGTGTGGGGACAAAAGTAAAGCTATAAAAGTAAAGGAGTAGAGAATTTCCAAGGATTCCAGCAGCGGTCTGAATGAGAAAGGTAATACTCCAATTTAAGTTAACAGAAACCATCTCCATTTAGAGGAGATGTTGGAGTTTGATTCTATTTTCATCAGAGGAATCTGTAGACTGAAAAATACAATTGAGTGTTTTCACTGTACCCGGTTTCATGCGCTTCCGTGTGAAGAGACCACTAAACAGGCTTTGTGTGAGCAGTAAAGCTTTTAATCACCTGGGTGCAGGTGGGCTGAGTCCAAAAAGAGAGTCATCGAAGGGAGATAGGGGTGGGGCCATTTTATAGGATTTGGGTAGGTAAAGGAAAAAGAGGGGTTGTTCTCTGGTGGGCAGGTGTGGGGGTCACAAGGTGCTCCGTAGAGGAGCTTTTGAGCCAGGATGAGCCAGGAGAAGGAATTTCACAAGATAATGTCATCAGTTAAGGCAGGAACAAGCCATTTTCACTTCTTTTGTGGTGGAATGTCATCAGTTAAGGCAGGAACCAGCCATCTGGATGTGTACGTGCAGGTCACAGGGGATATGATGGCTTAGCTTGGGCTCAGAGGCCTGACACCCAGAAAATGCCTTTTTCTCACGAAACTCATTATTCCAGGTGAATACAAACATTAAGAACAAACTTGTACAATTACAAAGCTATTTATTCCAAAATTATGATTTGTAAAACTACAATGACTTGAACCCACTTAATTTCAATCAAAGAAAGACTCAATAAATTCCTGGGCCTCCCCACAGTGGAGTCCTGGGCAGCTGTGGGTGAGATGAATGAGTTATCTTGAAGGCTGACCTTCCAAGACGTGTAGTTGTGTAGTTGGGGTGGCAGGGAGAAAAGAAAAAGAAAGATTCAGGACGTTATCAACAGTTAACTTTATTTTACTCAGAACCAGAGAAAAATGGTATAGTGTTATGTCATTGTGTGTGTATTTTGTAATCTATTTTTTAAAATGAAAGATTAATCAATACCTTTAAAAGTGGGTAGTTGAGAGAGAGAGAGAAAACAGTGCAGAGGAGACAGAATAAAGCTAGACTGACATCATTGTGTCTTGTTTCTTGTTTTGGTATAGAAATATAAACATACCTTTGGGAGGCTGAGGTGGGCGAATCGCAAGATCAGGAGTTCAAGACCAGCCTGGCCAACATGGTGAAACCCCACCTCTACTGAAAATAAAAAGATTAGCTGGGCATGGTGGCACACTCCTGTCATCCCAGCTACTCGGGAGGCTCTGACAGGAGAATTGCTTGAACCTGGGAGGTGGAGATTGCAGTGAGCTGAGACTGTGCCACTGCATTTGTAGGGACCAGCCCCACAGGGTCGGTGGGTCTCTCCCTGTGTGTGGTGACGATAGAGTGTAGAAATAAAGACACAAGACAAAGAGATAAAAGAAAAGGCAGCTGCGCCCGGGGGACCACTACCACCAATGCGCGGAGACCGGTAGTGGCCCCGAATGTTGGGCTGCGCTGTTATTTATTGGATACAAGGCAGAAGGGGCAGGGTAAAGAGTGTGAGTCACCTCCAATGATAGGTAAGGTCACGTGGGTCACGTGTCCACTGGACAGGGGGCCCTTCCCTGCCTGGCAGCCGAGGCAGAGAGGGAGAGGAGACAGAGAGAAAGACAGCTTACGCCATTATTTCTGCATATCAGGGACTATTAGTACTTTCACTAATTTACTACTGCTATCTAGAAGGCAGAGCCAGGTGTACAGGATGGAACATGAAGGCGGACTAGGAGCGTGACCACCGAAGCACAGCATCACAGGGAGACGGTTAGGCCTCCGGATAACTGCGGGCGAGCCTGACTGATGTCAGGCCCTCCACAAGAGGTGGAGGAGCAGAGTCTTCTCTAAACTCCCCCAGGGAAAGGGAGACTCCCTTCCCCAGTCTGCTAAGTAGCGGGTGTTGTTCCTTGCCACTTACGCTACCGCTAGACCACGGTCCGCTTGGCAACGGACGTCTTCCCAGACGCTGGCGTCACCGCTAGACCAAGGAGCCCTCTGGTGGCCCTGTCCGGGCATGACAGAGGGTTCGCACTCTTGTCTTCTGGTCACTTCTCACTGTGTCCCCTCAGCTCCTATCTCTGTATGGCCTGGCTTTTCCTAGGTTATGATTACAGAGGGAGGATTATTATAATATTGGGATAAAGGGTAACTGCTACAAACAAATGATTAATGATATTCATATATAATCATAACTAAGATCTATATCTGGTATAACTATTCTTGTTTTATATTTTATTATACTGGAACAGCTCGTGTCCTCTGTCTCTTGCCTCGGCACCTGGGTGGCTTGCCACCCACAGCATTCTAGCCTGGGCGACGAGCAAGACTCCGTTTAAAAAAATATATATATACATATATAAACATATTCCTGAATGTCTATACTATAAAATATTTTTAAATATAACTTATAAATCTAAAGATAATACCTTAAAAAAGGAAATAGAATTGAGTTCCTATCAAATTAGGGCATTACTAAACAAGGAAGAATTATTTGTACTAGAATGTAAGCAAAATTACTTGACCATATATTTTATAATGCATATATTATTTATCATATTATATAATAAATGTATACTTTTAAATCAAATTATATATTATGTAGTGACATATAGTTAATATTATTATATAATTTTGACTATATATAGTAAAACATAAGTGAATACACCCTCAAAAATGTTTAATTCTTAAAATATGTATGGTCAAAAATTCTAAATTTCATCCTAGAGAAATAGCTGACTCCACATTCGGAGAGAAAATACAGGAGATGAAGTCAGAACTTCTTATCATGCAAGAAAGCAAAGACATCACCACATACCATCAGATTCATGTTACCTGAACATAAAGTCTATCATGAAAAGTTCCCAATGGCAAAATGTGGAATATTTATAGAATCAAATAATATAGGTAGTGTATTAAAACTAATGAATATGTTCAAAGCCTATCAGTTTACTACTGTTAAAAACAAAATTAAAAAACAAAAAACCCCTCAAATATGAGGAATGGGAAAAGAACAAAATCTCCACATCAAAAACGTGGAAATGAAGGCAAGAAGCAAGATCTCTTTTGTTTATCTGAAGTGTTACACAGGAAACATTCTTTTCTGTAGAATGTTTCTACATAATAATAAGTATAGTAATAGCTATAGTAATGTTTTTGCCTAAGAATAGCTGTAGAGTTTTTGCATAATAATAGTTAACCCTGCAAAGCTTGGATAACCTGTGCGTTGAGTATACAAGCAATAAACATCAATGGCTGCCAAAACCCTTAGGCTGAAGGTTGATAGTGAATATAATAACGAGTGGATCCTGCTGATAGTACAGCCATCAGTACAGAATTGCAAGGTGGAGAATGCAAGACACAAGCAAATGAGCCATTGTGTCTCACTTCTGACATTTTCTAAGCATCTTTTTTACCATACCCTCAAATCTAGACCGTTATCTGGCTGGGCGTCTCTATGTTTCTTGGATTTGTGTGTCAAACTCTCTAGCGAGTTTAGGAAAATATTCATGGACTATATCCTCAAATATATTTTCCAAGTTGCTTATTCTCTCTTCCCCTTTCAGGAATGCTGACAAGTCATACATTTGGTGTCTTTAGATAATATCATATTTCTCAGAGATTTTGTTCACTTTTAAAAATATTTTTTCCTTATATTTGACTGATTTGATTCAAACAAGTCTTCAAGCTTTGAAATTCTTTTCCTCAGCTTGGTCTATTCTGCTGTTAATGCTTCTCATCGTATTATGAAATTCGTGTCATGAATTTTTCAGCTCGAGAAGTTCAGTTTGGGTGTTTCTTAAAATTTAATCGTTCATGTCATTAATCATTTTACTGGATTGCTTGGCTTCCTTGGATTGAATTTCAACTTTGCTCTTGATTTGAATGACCTTCCTTGCCATCCAGATTCCAAATTCTACGTTTGTCATTTCAGACAATTCATACTGATTAAGAACAATTTCTGGGGAGCTCGTGGACTGGTTTGGAGATAATAGGAGTTATTTCCCTGATTTTTTTTCTCATCTGGGAGGGTTGCTATTCCTTTCATTGCAAGGGTATAAATTGAGTATAGTCTGTTGGCTTTATTTCTGGAAGTTTTCAGGGGACTAAGGCTCTGTACAGGGTCTTTGCTGAATTCTTGCTCTTGGTTTTCCAGGCGGTAGAATTTAGTAAAGTGATTTTTGGTGTTGTAGTGTGGCTGTAATCCAGTAGATGGCGCTTGAGAGCAATAGGCAATAGACAGGCTCTTACTCCACTGCGTGGTGCCTTTGTTTATCTTTGTTCTTGACCTTGATACTTTTGAAAAGGTCAGAGCAGTTTTTTTGTTTTTGTTTTTTGAGACAGGGTCTCACTTTGTCACCCAGGGTGGAGTGCAGTGGCACGATCTTGGATCACTGCAGCCTCAACCTTCCCAGGCTCAGGTAGGTGACAGAGCAGGCAAGTTAACTTAAGGCCTCCTCCTTGGCAATCTGGTCTCAAGTAGGGGACAGGTCCCCACAGACAGAACTGAGGGGCAAGTGTGGCATGGGCTCCAGACCCCGAGCACTGGAATTAGACACCTCTCCTTTGCAGAAAGGTTTAGCCTTTCCTCAAGCGGTTCTGCAAAGGAGAGGTGTAGCTGGGGTGGCGTGGGCAATGGTGGTGGCAGAGTTTGTGTGAAACTTGTCTCTTCCCCAATCACTGTCACTTGTTTCAGGAGACGTTGTAATGTGCTGTATGGTTTGACCTCCAGGCCAGTAGGTGGCAATTGCTGGTGAGAGCCAGTTGTAGCGCTGGCAGTGGGCTTTATGCTTGACCTTTGTTAACCGGAAGCATTCAGGTATCCTAAGTGATGGGTTGGGTTGTGGAAAACTCAGTGGTCTTGATCAGTACTCTGCCTCCAACGCAGGGAAATGAAGGTAAGTGTGGCTGGTCCAGGCAAGCCTGTACTCAGGCCCAATGCTAGGCACAGGCTCCGTCCCCACAGAGGCTACATGTGTGGTTCTCAGGTCCCTGGAGAGACACTCAAGCACTGAGTAGGGCAATGACTATTATGCCAAAGTTACAGCAGAGTTCCCCAGAGGGGCACGTTGGGTTCCAAGCCTAGAAAATGACAGTGGGACTCACTTTAATCTAATGCTCCCAACCCAGCAGAGCTCCTCCCTGTGGCCCAATGCTGGAAGCAATTTCAGACCGTCAAATCACATGCGGTTTGATGTCAGACCACTCAACTACCCCAGGCCACAGATCTTGCCTCCTGGGTAAAATCCATGCCTCTCAGGCTACAACTTTTCCCACGCGGTTCTGTCAAAGAGAGGTGTCCAACGCCAGTGCTTGGTGTCTGGAGCCCATGCCACAATTGCCTCTCAGTTCTGTCCATGGGGACCTGTCTTCTACTTGAGCCCAGATTGTCAATCTCTGGCCCAAGACTCTCCGAAGTAGTGACCCTCACCCATGTTTGATGTCAAGTTCTTTTTTTTTTTTTTGAGACGGAGTCTCGCTCTGTCGCCCAGGCTGGAGTGCAGTGGCGTGATCTCAGCTCACTGCAAGCTTCGCCTCCCAGGTTCGTGCCATTCTCCTGCCTCAGCCTCCCGAGTAGCTGGGACTACAGGCACCCACCACCGTGCCCGGCTAATTTTTTGTATTTTTAGTAGAGACGGGGTTTCACCGTGTTAGCCAGGATGGTCTTGAACTCCTGACCTCGTGATCCGCCTGCCTCGGCCTCCCAAAGTGCTGGGATTACAAGCATGAGCCACCACGCCCAGCTAATTTTTTGTATTTTTAGTAGAGACGGGGTTTCACCGTGTTAGTCAGGATGGTCTCGATCTCCTGACCTCGTGATCCGCCTGCCTCGGCCTCCCAAAGTGCTGGGATTACAGGCGTGAGCCACCGCGCCGGGCCGATGTCAAGTTCTTGCACTGCCCACTAAGGGTTAGGATCAGGAATGGCCTCTTTCTATCAGCATCCAGGTCTGGGAGCACACATGGAGCACTTCCCTGGGCCCTTCCTTTTCACAGTCCTCCCGCTGTTCCCTAAGTCAGATCCAGGGCTTAGGTCGGTCAAAGAGCTCCCCAGTGGCCTGGATTGCCTGGCTCCCCACTGAGAATGGGTATCATGTGGTCTCATAACTTCCCTCTCAGGCACTGGAAGTTCACTCATGGTTTTCTGCCAGGTCTTGCTGCATGAGCTGCTGCCTGCCTTCTTTTTAGCAGTATCTGAGATTTCCTTCACTTTCATATTCAACTCCTGTATTAGTCCATTTTCAGGCTGCTGATAAAGACATACCCGAGACCAGGTAATTTATAAGAAAAAGAGATTTAATTGACTCACAGTTCCACATGGCTGCAGAGGCCTCACAATCATGGTGGAAGGTGAAAGCAACATCTCACGTGGTGGCAGGTACAGAGGAAATGAGAGCCAAGCAAAAGGGGAAACCCCTTATAAAATCATCAGCTCTTCTGAGACTTATTCACGACCACAAGAACAGAATGGGAGAAACTGCCTCCATGATTCAGTTATCTCCCACCGGCTCCCACAGCACGTGGGAATTATGGGAGCTACAATTCAAGATGAGATTTGGGTGGGGACACAGCCAAACCATATCACCTCCCATGTTCTTTCTTGGATACAAGAATGCAGAATGAATCTCTACACACCATTTTGGTATTTTCACCATCTCGGAAGACATAACAGTGTATTATATCCTTAAAAATCACTATAAAAGTAGATTTTAAGGGTTCTTACCACACAAAAATTAGAAATATGGAAAGTAATGTATATGTTAATTAGATTGATTTGCCCAACAGACAAGTATATATATTTCAAAACTACATACTTTACACAATAAGTATATACAATTTAGGAATTTTTCTTTTTTCTTTTTTTTTTTGATGGAGTCTCACTCTGTCACCAAGCTGGAGTGCACTGGTGCGATCTCGGCTCACTGCAATCTCCGCCTCCTGGGTTCAAGCGATTCCCCTGCCTCAGCCTCCCGAGTAGCTGGGACTACAGGCGTGCACCACCACGCCCGGCTAATTTTTTGTATTTTAGTAGAGATGGGGTTTCACCATGTTGGCCAGGATGGTCTCGATCTCCTGACCTTGTGATCCAAAGCTGTGTTACGAACATGAAGTTCTAAACACATTTTCTCATATGTTCACACATGTCTCATTCCAGCCTCAGTGCTCATGGGGTAGGATCTCCTTACCTGAGACCACAAACCCTGGGGGTCCCTGGGGTGTGAAAACAGGTAGGGGGAGGTACTCCATAAGACATAGCACCTGTAGGTCCTCCCAGCATTCATGGAGAATTC